>NC_000003.12:154008604-154311634 GCF_000001405.40 Homo sapiens | reverse complement strand
TAAAGTGCTTTTTTCCACTATTTAATTTGATTTGCAAATTAAATACACAATTTTTTTTAAAGCTCTATATCAAGAAAAAATGTAAATTAATGAACTTTCTTTTACAGGATAGTATTGGAAGTTAATTTTATTCTTTTGAATTAAGGACAAAAAGAAAAAAAAGGTTCATAAACAATTTTCCTCATGTTTGCTCCTGTTTTTGTCCATAATTGAAATCTTTGAAATTTAAAAAGTAAAATTTCCTCCTATAAGTTAGTTTGGATAAATACCTTGCAGTTAAGTCAAGACCAAATACTTCAGTTAAAAATAATATACAAATTATTGTATTAATTAAAATCAATGTACAAAAAAAGTACTACTAAAAATACAGTTAATTTTAATTTATTACACTATATCTTAACATATGATTACCCTATGTAGAATAATAGGATCTCTCATCCTTCTCTGTTTTCTCAACCTTATTTTATTTTATTTTACTTTATTTTTTACTTTTCATAGCACTTGTTACCACCTGACATCTGTTTGTCTTCCCCTCCCAGGCCAGTGTAAGTTCTTGAGGATAGGATTTGTTTTGTTCACTCTGTGTCTCTTGACTCAGAACAGTGCCTGGCATTCTAAAGACTTCCAGTAAATAAACTTCTGATTGGATGAATCACATTTCACTTCTGAGTATTTACCAGCTATAATTTCAGTGTTCAAACTTAAAACTTTTTCTGATATATACACATCTATGTATGTATAATGTGTTAGAATAAGTGGGGAATATATATATATGTATATACATATATATATATATATATATATATATATATATATATATATATATATTTTTTTTTTTTTTTTTTTTTTTTTTTTTTGAGAGGGAGTCTTGCTCTGTTGCCAGGCTGGAGTGCAGTGGCGCAATCTCGGCTTACTGCAAACTCCCGACTCTCGGGTTCAAGCGATCCTCCTGCCTCAGCTTCCCGAGTAGCTGGGGTTACAGGCACCCACCACGCCCAGCTAATTTTTGTGTTTTTAGTAGAGATGGGGTTTCACCATGTTGGCCAGGATGGTCTCAATCTCCTGACCTCATGATCCGCCTACCTCAGCCTCCCAAAGTGCTGGGATTATAGGCATGAGCCACCATGCCCGGCCTAAGTGGGGAATTTTTAAAAGGTAGGTTTTCAAGTTAAATTGTTTTATACATGAAAATAACCCCTAACATCCCTTTGAGGTAGTAAGATGACTTCGTTTATACAGTGAATATTATTATTAAAAATATTAATGTATACAATTTTGAGGAAGAATGAAACCCAAATATGAGGTTTTCTAGATAGCTTTGGTTTAGATATTCAATGACTTTATTTTAATTATTTGAAAGGAAGTAATTTTAAAATACAATATTCTCTTCCTTGCTCCTAAAATGGCATACAAAACTTGTTCTGCAGACAAAGCCATATTTATGAATTATATAAATTTGTAATGTCCTCAATAGTTGTTTAGGCCAGGAGTTTGCTTCTGTACTCAGTAGCCCCACATATCAACATTATTTTAATTCTTCTCCATGGAACTTATAAGCTGTCTCTTCTTGTTTATGTCAATATGTTTTTCTTTAACAGTGCTTTGGCTTTGTTCTTTATAATTTGGTGCACTTATCTCTTGCAGGTTGGTAGATCCAGATATCCAAACTGCCAGTATTGGATATGGCAAAATTTAGAAAGCATTAATATGTTTGTTAAAAATAGCTATGTTCAGTTTGGTCGAATTTTGATTAATATCTTTTTTCAGACTTAGTCAACATGTGATATTCTTTATTTTCCCTTTTGAAATAGGAATTGGTAAATTTAATTGATAACCATCAGGTAACAGTAATAAGTGGTGAAACTGGTTGTGGCAAAACCACTCAAGTTACTCAGTTCATTTTGGATAACTACATTGAAAGAGGAAAAGGATCTGCTTGCAGAATAGTTTGTACTCAGCCAAGAAGAATTAGTGCCATTTCAGTAAGTAATCTCTTAACTTATTAAAAATTGTCTTTTTAAAAGTAATCTTGCTAGAACCTACTGATTCTGAAGGTGTGGAGTGATTCTTAATTAGGCTTAGGATTGGTGACTATGAAAGCAAATAGTTGCTTAACATGTTTAATAATAAAGCCCAAAAAATTGAGTAACCTCTCTCTTAACAGATAATAGATATTTATGAATTCAAGATAAAATTGATATCCAGGCAAATTTCAGTACATGTTCACAAGAATGAAATAGATAAAATATTTATAGAATTGATTACAAGCTTCAAATAATCTCCATCATTTGATTCTTTAAATTTTACTACTTGGTTTATTTAACTTTTTTTTTTACTTCTGTCATTTTTTGAGTATGTAAATACACTGAATGGTGGTGAAAGTGGGAAACCTTGTTTTTTTTTTTAAGCTGCATTTCTGTAGTCAGTGATTTATTTATTTATTTTTTGAGACAGGGTCTTATTTTGTCACTTAAGCTGGAGCGCAGTGGTGATAACACGGCTCAGTGCAGCCTCAACCTCTAGGGTTCAAGTGATCCTCCTGCCTCCGCCCCCCAAGTAGGTGGTACTATAGGCATGTGCTACCATACCTGGCTAATATTTGTATTTTTTGTAGAGATGGGGTTTTGCCATGTTGCCCATGCTGGTCTCGAACTACTGGGCTCAAGCGATCTGCCCACTTCAGCCTCCCGGAGTGCTGGGATTACAGGCATAAGTCTCTGTGTCCAGCCATAGTCAGTCATTTTTGAATGCAGCTACTCAGTAAGAGGAAATTTATGAGGAAAAATAAGGTATTGTTTCTGGTTTGTCAAGTCCAAAATTTTGGGAAGGCATACTTAAGTAACAGTTTATAAGTAACTTTTAGTTCAGGTTGACTATACGAAATCCAGAATGCTCCCAAATCCAGAACTGTTTGAGTAGCAAAATGGAAATGCTCACTAGAGCATTTCACATTTTGAATTTTCAGATTTGGGATGTTTAACAAGGGCAAGTATAATGCAAATATTCCAAAATAGAAACCGGAAACACTTCTGGTCCTGATCATTTTGGCTAAGGAATACTCAGCCTGTACATTGATTTTGTTGTCGTCATCGTTTTTAGTTAGATGACCTAGTTAAATATGTGAGTTATATATTTTTTAAAGGTGTTTGGGGTTTCTTGTCATATTTCAGTGTGCATAGTGAATTTATTTATGCTATATAATTCTGTGTATAAATTATAAAGATTTGTGTTTGTCTTTGGTTTTATGGCAGTGCTGCTTATCACATGTCTAAGTCATTTAATATAGAATCTGTGGTTAAAAACATTACCAATTATGACAGCACTTGGCAGTAAATACAGTATATGTTTTAAGCTTTGGTTTCTAAGAAGTACTATAAAGAAAGAGCAGTAGACTTCACCCCTTTTTAAAAAGAAGTGTGTAAATTTATGGGATACAAGTGCAATTTTGTTACATGCATAGGTTGTGTAGTGGTTAAGTGAGAGCTTCTAGGTTGTCCATCACCCACATCATATACATTGTACCCATTAAGTAATTTCTCATCATCTGTCCTCCTCCTGTCTTCTCTTCTGAGTCTCCATCGTTTGCCATTCCACACTCTATGTCCACATATACCTGGTTTTTAGCACCCACTTATGTGAAATATGATATTTTGTCTTTTTGTGTCTATTTCGACATGATTTCACTCTTACAGCTAAATAGTATTCCATTGTGGTGTATATATACACCACATTTTCCTTATCCAGTCATCCATTGATGAGCACTTAGATTGATTCCGTATCTTTACTGTTATGAATAGTACTGTGATAAACATGCAAGACAAGTATTTTTTTTTTTTTGACACATTGATTTCTTTTCCTTTGGGTAGAAACCCAGCAGTGGGATTGCTGGATCAAATGATAGCTCTATTTTTAGTTCTTTGAGCAATCTCCATACTGTTTTCTATAGAGGCTGTGCTAATTTGCATTCCTACCAACAGTATGTAAGAGTTCTCTTTTATCCATGTCCTGGCCAAGATCTATTATTTTTTGACTCTTTAATAGTAGCCATTTTGACTGGGGTAAGATGATATCTCATTGTGGTTTTAATTTGCATTTCTCTGATGATTAGTGATGTTGTGCATTTTTCATATACCTGTTAGTCATTTGTATATCTTCTTTTGAAAAATGTCTGTTCTTGTCTTTTGCCCTCCTTTTAAGGGGATGATTTGTCTTTTATTGTTGTTGTTTGAGTTTCTTGTATATACTGGGTATTTGTCCACTGCTGGATGAATAGTTTGCACATATTTTCTTCCGTTCTGGAAATTATCTGTTTACTCTGTTGATTATTTCTTTTGTTGTGTAGAAACTTCTTAGTTAATTCCCATTTGTCTATTTTTATTTTTGTCGCCTGTGCTTTTGAGGTCTTAGTCATAAATTCTTTGCCTAGACCAATGTCCAAAGGAGTTTTTCCCTAGGTTTTCTTCTAGTAGTTTCAGTTTCAGGTAGTCTTCACCCTTTTATGGGGACTATATTCCAGGAAATTGCATAAAATTACAGAATGGTGAAAAATAAACCACTTTTGTCATAACACACTTTTGTAGCTAGACTTAAATATTTTCACTAATATATAGCAGTTACTGTATATGCTGATAGTAGGAAGAAATGCTAAGTAGGTAATTTTTCTCTTCTTTTTTCCACCATCTGTTGGAATTTGAGTAGACAGGTTAATGTGGTCTGTCAGTGTATACTAGATATACTTATTGGAAAGTTTTACTTGTAAAGTATTATTTCTTACAAATTATGCCATTTTCTATTTCTAATACCTTATTATCACTGTTCTGTCACAGAATAACTGTTGGTTACTTTTAGTTGTACAAATCAGTATTAGATTATAACATTTCATCTTTCCAAATCTTATTTTTGGCAGTCATAACTTTCAAAACATGACCAAGAACTAGAAATTCAACACCAGTCCCTACCACAAACAAAAACACAAGGGAAGAGTATCAATATGTAATTACTTTCAAATTACACATAACTTCTACAAGTTTAGATCTTGATTTACAACTCTTAGAAAAGACCAGAAAAGTATAAATTAATGAGAGGATGCTATAGAAAGGCACTTTGAAACTAGTGATGAGAGAACTTGGCCTTAAAAGACTTTATAAGAGGAAATGAAAAATAAACAGCTCTTAAGAGAGGCACACACTGTTTTAGATACCTCAGATTTTAATATCTATTTTTTTAACTCATTTAGAAATCTGAAGAACAATTTTTCAACAGTCCTAGATTTTCATGGACATTCAGGATATTTGTTCTAAAGGAAATTATATTCTCTTTATGTTTTATTTGAATTAAAGGTTGCGGAAAGAGTAGCTGCAGAAAGGGCAGAATCTTGTGGCAGTGGTAATAGTACTGGATATCAAATTCGTCTCCAGAGGTAAGAAATGTTCACTTCTTATATACAGGCAGATTTTAGTGAAACTTTGAAGCTGGAGATTCAAAAGAAAGGATATTTTCCCCATTTTTATGATGGTTATTACTATTACAATTACCATTTAAAGTAACTGCAGCGTAGATGACTTGCTGCCACAAATTTATCTTTTAACCCCACATCAGACTTGTATTGCCTTTTTTAAATGATGCTTTTATATTTGGAATGATTAGAAAAATAAACATTTTTCCTGGACATAGATTAGTAGACCATTACTCTCTCTGAAAAGATTGTGTAGACCTTTCAGTACCACCTCCATATACTTCCGACTGACTTTTTATTGATTTTGATATCTTAACCCCCTATCCAACTCCACTGTGCAGTACATAGTTGGTCCTTTTCTGGAGCTTAGGACTCCATTTGCCTTTTTATGTTTTAATTTACTTAATGTTTTTTAGAGATAGGTTCTCACTCTGTTGCTCTGGCTGAAGTGCAGTGGTGCAGTCAACTCACTGCAGCCGAAGACTCCTGTGCTCAAGCAGTCCTCCCACCTCAGCCTCTCAAGTAGCTGGGCCTACCGGCGGACACCACCACAACTGGCTAATTTTTTTACTTTTCGAGCCTGGATCTCGCTGTGTTGCCCAGGCTGGTCTTGAGCTCCTGGGCTCAAGCAACCCTCCCATCTTGGCCTCAAAGTGTTGGGATTACAAGCCTGAGCCACCATGCCTGACACATTTGCCTTTTCAAATGAGCTTTCCAATTACGAACCAAATATTTAGGCCCCATAAGTAATTCAGTTGTTGTCTGAATGTGAATGGTCGTATCTTTTAAAAGAAATTAACATTATATCAATGACAACAAAGATAATGTATAATGAACTTGAAGTATTTCCCATTACCCCATTGTGGTAGGTGTTCTTATAAGTAAAAAATTAAGTGTGAAGATTTTCATTAAAACTGAAAGCATTTCTAAAATTGAAGATATAAACCTTTGTGGTAGTTAATTATTAGAAGAGAAAACCAAGGCTTATTAATTCATGTCTTTCATTCACAGTCGGTTGCCAAGGAAACAGGGTTCTATCTTATACTGTACAACAGGAATCATCCTTCAGTGGCTCCAGTCAGACCCGTGAGTATGTTTCAATTAAGGAAATATAAGTGTTATCAAAAGATGTAATTATTAAATTGGATTTTACTAGTTGTTAAAGAAAAATGGTTTTAAAATTTTGTACTTCACACTTCTGCCTTAGGTATTTGTCCAGTGTTAGTCATATCGTACTTGATGAAATCCATGAAAGAAATCTGCAGTCAGATGTTTTAATGACTGTTGTTAAAGACCTTCTCAATTTTCGATCTGACTTGAAAGTAATATTGATGAGTGCAACATTGAATGCAGAAAAGTTTTCAGAATATTTTGGTGAGTAAAATGTATAGTTATTACATTAGAAAAGGTACTAGAAAAACAATTAAAAAAATTAATATGGTACTAGGTAAAGAGTAGTCAAAATGAATGTTTAGCTGTTAATTTTATTTTAATATTATTCTACCCTCCAGTTTCATGGATTAGACAATTGGGTCTATTTTTAAATGGTGGCATCATCTCTCATAGTGAGGACAGGTAGCTTCTTGTTGCTACCACCACACAATTAAGATGGCATCATTGAAGTCAAACCACAGATTTGCATAATTTTATAAACTTCTTTCTGTTGTTTTTCTGTGGCTTTTATCACAGGTTAGGGTGGCAGTTTGCTGCTAATACTGCTAGTGACCACTTATGGAACACCTTCAATGTTCCAGGTAGTATATTTGCCACTTTGTCTTCCTTAGTCTTTATAACACTTTATGAGGTAGTTGCTATTATCATTCACATTTTTACAGATGAGAAAGCAGCCTCAGAGCAGTTAAGTAGGTTTCCCAAGCTGAAGCTAGATTGGACCAGCTGCAAAAGCACATTCTTTTAAAATTAATCCTCACTGTCTTTCCTGCTTATACTTGTGAAGGAAGGAGGGGGAAAGGGAGGGAATTACAATGTAATATATTTATGTTTAATAAATGTTCTTGTCATCAGCTTTTTAAAAGTCCTTTAAAATACATCCCAGTTAATACTGAAAACCATGTAAGATTAGTTGGGGTAGGTGTTATTATTGTTATTTTTAAATGAGACTTCTAGAACTAACATTGAGTACTTTGCTCAAATGTGTGCACATCATGGGTAGAGCAGTGATACCTACTTAGGTATTTTGACCTCTGATGTGATGTTTGCTTTTTACAGTGTGTACTGCTTGTTTCGCTTGTTATGAAATGTAAAGAGCATTTAAATAACAGTACCGAAGTGATTTTTTTATTAGTAATTTTGAAATAGTAACAATCTATTTGTTTAGGTTTTGTTTTGATTACCTTTCTCCGCTAATTCCGGGTGCTACAAGTAGTAATGCTTATCTAGAATTCAGTAAAACTTTGATATTCTGGATATTCTATTATGGCACCATCTGGGTTAATGATGAAGAGAAAATAGACTTCTAACTAATGGATTTTGAGTTCAACTTAAAACTCTATTCTTTGATATTCTGTGTTATTTTGTAGAACTGTGAGATGTGTGTACAGTTTGGTAGCAGTAAAATGGTATTGAGTGAAGACTAGACTGCTGTTTTTTATTAAAGTAGGTGTGGAAAAGTAGGGTAGAATTGTAAAAGCTACAGGACCATTTTCTGGAATTAATAGTAAGTAATAGAGTCATTGTCCTATTTACAGTATATTAATGTTTTTAACATTTGAGTACAAATTTATGCTTATATTTTGTCTGCCGTAATAGGTAACTGTCCAATGATACATATACCTGGTTTTACCTTTCCGGTTGTGGAATATCTTTTGGAAGATGTAATTGAAAAAATAAGGTAAGTAAACATTAGGAAATAAAAAACATTAAAAAGTACTAATATATCACTTTTCTCATGTCAAACTTTAGTCTCAGAAACCCATCATTGACTATTTCCTTGTAAAACATTTTTCTGGGAATTAGCCACACTTGGCTGCACATTAAAATTGCCTGGAGCTTTTTAAAATCCAGATGCCTGATTTATACTCCCTACCTAAATTACATTACAGTGTCTGAGGTAGTAGCCAGGCATCCGTGGTTTTTTTTAATTGAGACAGAGTCTCTCTCTGTCGCCTAGCCTAGAGTGCAGTGGAGCTATCTCCGCTCACGGCAACCTCCGCCTTCCAGGTTGAAGTGATTCTCCCACCTCAGCCTCCCAAGTAACTAGGATTACAGGTGTGTGCCACCATGCCCAGCTAATTTTTGTATTTTTAGTAGAAACTAGTTTCACCGTGTTGGCCAGGCTGGTCTCAAACTCCTGACCTCAAGTGATTTGCCTGCCTCAGCATCCCAAAGTCCTGGTATTACAGGTGTGAGCCACCACGCCTGGCTGGTGTCAGTGTTTTTTGAAGATTCCTGGGCAGCAAAGTTTGGGAACCTTTGTCTTTAGTGTTTGAACCCTTTTGCTGGTTCTCCTGCCTGATTTTCACTTTCCTTTGTTGGCTTCCATTGCCGAACCTTTAAATATAATTTCCCCCAGTCTTCTCAATCATTTATGTTTTCACTGTGCAAACCTGTTTATATCCCTAACTGTAGTTCTGTATTTTCACAGCTTTCAGTAGTGTAGCTTCAGAACTGAAGCTTCTCCTGACCTTCGAACTGGCTTTCTGCTCAATAGTATTCTAGTACCACAGATGCCTTGAACCTAACATTTCTCAAGCCTAAATCATTATCTTATATTCTCCCACCAAAAAAATAAAACAATGTGTCTTGCCCAGCATACTTTATAATGGTTAATAATTATCCTCCACTTAGTTTTCTGACCTATAAATCAAAAAGTTAGTGTGTATCAGGCAGTTATGTACCAGGGTATGGCAACTGTTTTACACAGTGAGTAACCAAGTTAATCCAAGTCATTTTGTACTGCCTTCAAACACACACAAACTCTGGGAACTTTCTTCTTGAACATGCTTTCTCATTTTTATTTCTTTGCTAAGGTCCTTACTATCTCTCCTGTGCTAATACAATAGTTCCTCTTTTGGTACTATGTTCTTCACTCTTAGGGAAGCACTCTTTGTGCTATACATGAGGCTTTATCACTTTTTTTTTTTTTTTTACTTTATCACATTTTTAAAAATCTCATGCCAGTACTGTTACAAACATTAATCTCTCAAATAAGATAACTAAAGGCCAGATGTTTAATGCCTTGTCTAAGGTTACACAGCTAGTCAGTAGCAGAGGAGGGATATTCTGACTTGGGAGTCCATGCTCCAGCCCCTCCCCCATTCCATCTAGATGCTGTCCTCTAGTTGAGCTCAGAGATGCCTTGGGGTTAAAGTGTGGGTTCATTTTTGTCTTTTCCCACCTCGTGCCTCTCAGGACTGACAATGATAGGTAGAATTATTGTCCAGATGCGCCCTCTATGGTTTTAGCAATCACTACAGGATGGTAGTAGAATCATAGTACAGCACTCAATTGACATATGAGAGACTTGAATACTGATTCTGGATCTGCCATTAACTACAACTGTGTGACTGAGCAGAATTAAATAGTTCTCTAGCGTGGGTCTGTAGATCTGGATACACTATCTGAATCTCCTGCAGGCACTAATTAAAATTCTTAGATTAACAGACCCAAGGCATACCTACCAAATCCAAATCATCAGGGATGGGATTTAGGAGTCTGTATTTTACAAGCTCTCTGAGGGATTCAATTCTTACGTGCAGTCAGGTTTGGACTTAACATTAATATTAACTTTTGTTCTAAAGCAAACTTAAAATAGAAGGTAAAAGTTACTTACTTTAGTCTTTTTCTAAATTTTTGACTAAAAATGATCTATAGGTTTATATACTTCAATAAAGAAGAATGATTTTTATCCAAAATATCAGGTTTTATAAGTTAATGAACACAAACTGATATTTTAGCTAGCATTCACTTGAAAGCATAATGAAAATGTTCTTTGGAATCCTTTTTGAAAATCCTAAATATAAAATGTCACAGATTTTAGCTAAAACTAGAGTTTCAAAAAAGTGAAGATATTCAAGAATGTTTTTATTTTAGGTATGTTCCAGAACAAAAAGAACACAGATCCCAGTTTAAGAGGGGTTTCATGCAAGGGCATGTAAATAGACAAGAAAAAGAAGAAAAAGAAGCAATATATAAAGAACGTTGGCCAGATTATGTAAGGGAACTGCGAAGAAGGTAAGTTTATTTTGTCTGAAGGTGAGAAATCAGTGGCTAAATAAAACAAAAAGCCAGAGGCTGGGGGCATCTTCTTGAATCTGTACGTACTTAAAGGAGAGCATTGTGAGTCTCTTATTCGAGCTAAATATTGTGCTGATTTGACTTTTAAGCAGTAATTACCCCAGTAATTCTCTCCGATCTGTAGATTATGTTCCTCCATTTGCAGATTGAGTTAATTTTAAGCTTTTGTAGCAAGTTAACAGAAAACTTGATTAAGTATTTCATGACTTTGTGTTTAACTTTGATAGGTATTCTGCAAGTACTGTAGATGTTATAGAAATGATGGAGGATGATAAAGTTGATCTGAATTTGATTGTTGCCCTCATCCGATACATTGTTTTGGAAGAAGAGGTTAGTTTTATTTTTCTTTCTTCAGTTAACATAATTTTAATTTTATTAACGTATCAAGGCCATGAAAAATACAGTTTTCTTAAATGCTTATGAAATAGACTGGAAGAAATTACTTTTGATACTAGAAATCATCTCATAGTAGCAAAAGATTTAGGCATTTGACCTGTTTGAAGAAAAGACTAAACAAATATATGGATTATAAATCTCATTTTTTAAAAGTGAGCTTAGCTGGATGCAGTGGCTCATGCCTGTAATCCCAGCACTCTGGGAGGCCAAGGCAGGTGGATCACTTGAGGCCAGGAGTTCGAGACCAGCCTGGCCAATGTGGCAAAACCCTGTCTCTACTAAAAATACAAAAATTTGCTGGGCGTGGTGACACAGGCCTGTAATCCCAGCTACTTGGGAGGCCGAGCATGAGAATCACTTGAACCCAGGAGGCAGATGCTGCAGTGATCCGAGATCATGCCATTGTACTCCATCCTGGGTGACAGAGCAAGACTCTCTCAAAAACAATAATTAAAAAAAAAAAGCTTATATACTTTTAATTATTAACGAAAATTATCCTGAGCTAGTATAATTTTAATGGAGACTTCAGTGTGCACACAATTTTACTGTTACTGCATTTTGTTGATGTGATCCTTTGTAATGGTTATTTCCCCTTCATATAGGATGGTGCGATACTGGTCTTTCTGCCAGGCTGGGACAATATCAGCACTTTACATGATCTCTTGATGTCACAAGTAATGTTTAAATCAGGTACTATGTAAATGTATTTTACTGTAATTCAAAGAGTGGTATTTGAATTATATATGATGTGTATTTTTTTCTTTTATTCAAAGAAGTGTTGCTTCTACTAGGTCACAGATGAAGGTGAAGCTTTTTATTTAGTATTATGAAGAGAATATTTTCTTTCTTTTTCACAATTTGCCTAATAAAATTGGCTCTTAAAGCATAGGTATGTGAGGTTTTTCATTTTTTCACTTACTGCTGCAAAAAAGAAATCCCTTGGCCCAGTGTTTCTGAATTCTGAGTATACAACAGAGTCACCCATGGAGCTTCTTTAAGATTCAGATACCTAGACCCCATCATCACCCCAAATCTAAGAATGCGACCTGAACATCTGAAGTTGTTAAAAATTCCTCAAGTGATTTTGATCCTGTATGAACAGCATATTTTGAAACATATAAACTCTAGAGAAATGAATGAGAACCTTTTTTTCTATAAAATTTAGAGTATTTTCAGCAATCATTAACTTCAAATATAAAAACTACAAAGAAAATTCTATTTAATTTTTACAGTTCTGAATATAATTTTTTTATTTTGAGATGGAGTCTCGCTCTGTTGCCAGGTTGGAGTGCAGTGATGCCATCTCGGCTCACTGCAACCTCCGCCTCCTTTGTTCAAGCAGTTCTCCTGCCTCAGTCTCCAGAGTAGCTGGGATTACAGGCATGTGACACCATGCCCGGCTGACTTTCTGCATTTTTAGTAGAGATGGGGTTTCACTATGTTGACCAGGCTGGTCTCGAACTCCAGACCTGAAGTGATCCTCCCATCTCAGCTTTCCAAAGTGCTGGGATTACAGGCTTGAGCCACCACGTGTGGCCTCTGAATATAATTTCTAACCCTACTCTGTTGAAGTGCTTTTGACAAAATTAATTATTTATTTATTAATTTATTTTTGAAACAGCATCTCACTCTCTTGCCCAGGCTGGAGTGCAGTGGTGCGATCTCGGCTCACTGCAACCTCTACCTTCCAGGTTCATGAGATTCTCCTGCCCTGCCTCCTGAGTAGCTGGGACTGCAGGCACCTGCCACCACGCCCGCCTAATTTTTTGTATTTTTAGTAGAGACAGGGTTTTACTGTGTAAGCCAGGATGGTCTTGATCTCCTGACCTTGTGATCTGCCTGCCTCGGCCTCCCAAGTGCTGGGATTACAGGCATGAGCCACCACGCCCAGCCAGACAAAATTTATAGGCACTAGAAAATATTTTGATCTAATTGTATTGACTAAAATAATAAATGTATATATTTATTATTTGTTAAATCCTGTTATGCTCTGAAAGCATTCTCTGTAATTAAAATTATTTACTATCTAGCTTGCAAAGTATTTTGATCTAATTGACTTCTCTATAAAGAAATACTGCTTTCTGTTTTCTTTTTGTGTGATAACTTTATAGAAAAATTTGTCATGATTAGACAGCTGAATTTTTCAAACAACTAGAATTTTTTTATTGGCTAAATCTAACTCTGGCCTTTCCTTCCCCCATTATTATAAACATTATTGTATAGTGTACTTATAATTTTAAAAAATGTGTGTGCATATATTTACCAATGAAGATAAGATATATACCAAAATATAACGTTATCATTTAGTGTATGTGATGGAGAGTGGGAAAAGGGTATATTATAGATTATTATAATTGACTTCGTTAACTTTCTAGTTTGAATTAATTATTCTCAAGGAAAGAGTTGCTAATGTATACACTTCCACTACCAGCTCAATTCCTTTTAAAGGAAATCTTTCCAGAACTTGAGTGTTTTTTCTCAAATTATGTTGAAAAAAATTTAGCCTTGATAATCAGTTGTATAGTTAACCACTATCATGGGGAGAAAATTGGCCTAACTCTGTGCTGAGAAATTGAGTTTTGAAACTCAGTTTATTAAATGCTTATCAATTTCTTGTTTTTTTCTTTTCATAAGAGTATAGATTTTGTTCTCATTAACTCTCTTAGTTGTATGGTGTCAACAATATAAATTTTTTTTCCCAATTATATAGTCTTCAACAGAATTGTTTTTACTTTTATTATCCCTGGCTAACTTTTAAACTTTTTATAATGAAACATTTTAAATATACAAAAAAACTAGAGACTTTTTTTTTTTTTTTGAGGTGGAGTCTCGCTCTGTTTCCCAGGCTGGAGTGCAGTGGCACGATCTCAGCTCACTGCAACCTCCGCCTCCCAGGTTCAAGCAGTTCCCTGCCTCAGCCTCCCGAGTAGCTGGGATTATAGGCACCCATCACCACACCTGGGTAATTTTTGTATTTTTAGTAGAGACAGGGTTTCACCATCTTAGCCAGGTTGGTCTTGAACTCCTGACCTTGTAATCCACCTGCCTTGGCCTCTCAAAGTGCTGGGATTGCGGGCGTGAGCCACTGCACCCAGCCAAAACTAGAGAATCTTAATGAATCCACGACTTCAGTGCCAACAATTATTTTTTCAGTCCTAGTTTTTTCTTAAAGTCAATTGCAGCTGTCACATTTCATTTCTAAATGTATAAGCAAGAATCTCTAAAGGCAATTTTCTATATAACCATCATGTCTTTATCATACCTAATCCTTAATACCATCTGATAATCCAGTCTGTAATCAGATTTTCCCATTTTTCTGAAAAGTGTCTTTCACAACTAGCCTGTTCAAACTATAGAAAGTGTCAACATCTTTTGATCTAGCTCTAGAACATTGCTCCCCTCCACTCCCTGCTTTTCCTCATGGTAATGTAAAGTCATGGAAAAGACCAGGCCATTTGTTCTCTAATAAGTCCAACTTTCTGAATTTGTGTGACTCTTTATGCTATCATTTCATTTGATTCTCTCTTACCTTTATTTCCTGTAACTCGAAAGTTATATCTGAAAGCTTGATTCAATTCAAGTATTTTTGGCTTGAATATTATAGTTGTAATATTTCATACTGTCACAGAGACAAGTAATTCAGAGGATTCTTTTTTAGCAACATCAGTTGCTTGGCAGCTGTTCACTACTTTTTATTTTTAAGATTCGTAAAATCTCTTCACAGTCAGAGTCCATGGGGATCATCATATCCTTTAGATAACAACAGTTCTTTTCTGGGGAAGTATAGCTGACTTGAATCATTTGGGCATTTAAGTCAGATTGTATTTTTGTAAGCATAGTTAAATGTGAAATTAACTCTTGCTTTCTTGATACTCTCCCTTTCACCCATCACTGTATTACACCAGACTTTCTGTGTTGGCTAATAATTGTGAATGGGCTTGAGCTATTTCATTTGGAAACTTAAAAAGTAGGAATTTCTTATATTTTTAACAAAATATGTGTAAAATGTGGGTCACTTTTGGAATGTATTATTATTATTATTATTATTATTTTTGAGACGGAGTCTCGCTCTGTCACCTAGGCTGGAGTGCAGTGGCGCGATCTCGGCTCACTGCAAGCTCCGCCTCCCAGGTTCACGCCATTCTCCTGCCTCAGCCTCCCAGGTAGCTGGGACTACAGGCGCCCGCCAACACGCCCAGCTAAGTTTTTGTATTTTTAGTATAGACGGGGTTTCACCGTGTTAGCCAGGATGGTCTTGATCTCCTGACCTCGTGATCCGCCCGCCTCGGCCTCCCAAAGTGCTGGGATTACAGGCATGAGCCACCGCGCCTGGCCTGGAATGTATTATTTTTAACAAGGACTATTTCATTATTTTCTAACTAGGACATGGGTATTTAATAAGTAATTTGCTCTAAAAATTTAGATATTATCGGTTTGATTAAAATAGTGAGGATTGCCAGGTGCAGGGCTCATGCCTGTAATCTGTAATCCCAGTACTTCGGAAGGCTGAGGTGGGTGGATTGCTTGAGCTTGGGAGTTCAAGACCAGCCTGGGCAACATGGCAAATCCCCATCTCTACAAAAAATACAAAAATTAGCCAAACATGGTTGTGCATGCCTGTGGTCTCAGCTACTCGGGAGGCTGAGGTGGGAGGATCACTTGAGCCCAGGGGGCAGAGGTTGCAGTGAGCAGAGATCACACCACAGCAACGGGCAACAGAATGAGACCCTGACTGAACAACAAAAAAATAGGATCACCCAAAGTGTACAAACGTATTCATGTTAAACAGAATTGTTGCCTATTCATTCAGTTTTTATTGGTGTAATTTGAAAAGATTACTCCCAACTTTTGAGCATTCTTTAAGAATTTGGGGAAAATACTTATCAATATGAAATAAACTAACAGAACAAAATGTTAGCTTGAACTTGGAGCGCTCAGAAAACAAGACTATAAAGAAATTAAGTTGGTCTGTTTGTATGTAGAAATAAAAATAAAGAATTTTTGGTTCACTTAAACACATGGGCAGTTTGTCAACTCAGATGGTTTAGCTGTTTTCATTAAATAATGTTCAATGTCTTATCAAAAAAAGAATTGAGTGGTTCAGCTTCTGAATTCATTGTCTCATATGTGTTTGATGGAGCTTTTCTGCAACTCTTTATCTTAAAATTTAATTCTCTTTAATTTTCAGATAAATTTTTAATTATACCTTTACATTCACTGATGCCTACAGTTAACCAGACACAGGTATGTTAAATGGATACATTTGTTAAATGTATTTCAAACTGAGGCAAGCTTTAAGGACTGCTTGTTACGTGTTTTCCTTTATTTTTTTTAAGGAGTATTTTCAAATAGTAATTCATGTAAAAAAATACTTCTTTGAGAACCTTTGCAAATGAGTCTTCAGGGGATGATTGCTCAAAAACTTGAATATCAGCGGATAACCCACAAATCAGATTAGTTTTGTCTACATTAGGAAAAAGTTTAAAGAATTGGTTTCACCAGTAACTTCGTTGAGTTTCCTGAGTAAGAGAAAAAGGTCTGTGAGTACTACTAAAAGTAACCAAACCTAGAAATTAATGATCTGTGACATACTACAGTTTGATGATGATTTGAGATTTAATTTCACAAAGCTAGTATATTCACAGGTATAAAATTTCTGTTTTAATAATGTATTATGAATGTTTGGCTCCATCAGATACAGGCGCTTTCCTAATTAGAGTGAACACTACATTCTCAGAGGCAGGATAATGTTATGATCTACAGTATTTGCAGGCTCTTGCAAAATGAAATTGATTAGAAAACCTGCTCCTCCCCCCATTTCTAGTTTATCCTTTTCTCTTTTTATAAGAAAATATCAAGATACTTTTCTTTGAGACCCTTTTAATATTTTTGTTGCTGGTACCTTAGTCATGAATTAGATACAGAGTACATACCTGAGAGAAGAGAGGGGGCAAGAAAGAAAACTCTTGATTCCAAAGACTGAAAGAGTATCCAGCATGGAAGTATTCATCTTCCACACCATAACCTAGTAAATTATGTATTCCTTTGCTGGAGAGTATGTGAATAGCCTGGGAAACATTTTCTGTATTGACTACCAGTTTTGTAAATGAAGGGATAAGTTTTTGCTTTTTGTTTGTTTGCATTATCGCCAGTGGTACTTGATTACCTATCTTCTTTCTACTTTAGTGACATTGTCGGGTTGTGGGGCAGTATTTGTAGAATTCTCCATTTAAAGAGGATTTTTTTTTTTCACTCCAATCTGATCTCAAGCTAGTAGACAGTGGTTGGTACAGCTGCACAGTTGACATTTGTTCTGCTGGGTTGGGCATCTGCCTGATTATTCAGTGTTCTTACCCATGGAGACTTGACTTCATTATTCTTGTCCTAACAGAAATATCCCTCCCTCTACTTTATAACCTCCAGCTTTTGTTAAAAAACTGCTGTAAATTTAAATAATGATACCTCATTGGAAATCTTGTTTGTGATAAGATTGTGACATCTGTGGGAGATTTAATGTGGTTTACCAAAAGATAATTTTGTAATATTGAAAATGATCTGTACTTCATAAATACATCGATAAATATTAGATGTATATGTCAGTGAATGAACATAGAATGCTAAAAATGAACAGTATCTGAGGTAATTCCTCTAATTACAAATATAATGTATTAGAAGTTAGTGTACTTTTGTGATTCTGATGTATTTATTTTTACAGGTGTTTAAAAGAACCCCTCCTGGTGTTCGGAAAATAGTAATTGCTACCAACATTGCGGAGACTAGGTAAAAATAGTTTTAAATATCAAATACTGATGATTACATAAGTTTTAAACACCATAACGTGTTTATATACCTTAATCTTTTTTCTCTACCATATACCTTGTAATTTATTAAAAATAAAACCTTTTTTATGGCAGTGAGCATAGTTTTATTTTTTGTGGGCTTTTTTGAGACAAGGTCTCATTCTGTCACCCATGCTGCAGTGCAGTGGCACGATCATGGCTCACTGCAGCCTTGATCTCCTCAGCTCAAGTGAGCCTTCCACCTCAGCCTCCCAAGTAGCTTGTACTACAGGCTTGTGCCACCACACCTGTCTGATTTTTTAAATTTCTTGTAGAGATGGAGTCTCACTATGTTGCCCAGGCTGATCTCTAACTCCTGGGCTCAAAATGATCCTATTACCTCAACCTCCCAAAGTGCTGGGATGACAGGCCTAAGCCACCATGCATGGCCAGTTTTGTGGGGGTTTTTTAACCTATAGTAATGCTTTAGCTCAGAAATAGCATTTTAGGTGTTGGTTTTTGTTTGTTTTGTTTTCCTAAAGAAGCATGGGAGCTGAGGTAAATTTTGTCCTTTCGCCTGTTTCTGGTTGGGGGTAGTATTTGGTAATTAGTTATATCCAGCCTTTAAATGTTCTTGTATTCTCTTGGAGGTACTAAGATGTAGTTTAGTCACTGAAACAGATTCTTTTCTGGAAGCTGATATTAAACCATGCTGTTGGGGCTCCCATAGTGCTAGGTATGAGGCAACCTGTGATATTTGACTGTAGGCAAGTAAGAATTTAGTATATGATCTGAAGAACTAATACTGTGCTGTCACTTACAGTGCCTGACACTGCCTACTGTTAGGTACTCGATCCCTATAATATTGGTAATGTGGGTGTGAAGAGTAGTGAAAATCCTGAATGGCTAAAATCATTTGATGTAATAAAAAAAAAATGCTCTGAAATACCTATTTATTGGTCTTTTATAGGTTAATAGTGCTTTCGATGTGTGTGTGTGTGTGTGTGTGTGTGTGTGTGTGTTTTAACATTTTATATATCTGTTTTCCAAACAGCATTACCATAGATGATGTCGTTTATGTGATAGATGGAGGAAAAATAAAAGAGACGCATTTTGATACTCAGAACAATATCAGTACAATGTCCGCTGAGTGGGTTAGTAAAGCTAATGCCAAACAGAGAAAAGGTCGAGCTGGAAGGTAAGGTGGGAACTCTGTCCAAAGCTTTTAGAACACACAAAAATTTTGTGTAACAAAATGTGATGTTGGCATTTAAAGATATTTATTAAAAGAGTTACCTTTCTTATTATTTTGAGCTTATTGCAAAACATTTTTAAATAGGAAAGTTGTTCTAATCGTAGTTTGTTTGGAAAAGTATCTGCCAAGTTTTCTATTTTATGAATCTTTTGCCTTCAATTTCTAAGTTTGATTAATAAGTTATGTTACTTATAATAGTTGGTTTTCATTTTTTTAAAGCATATATTGTGTGATAATAATAGCAACTAATACTTTTTGAGTGTCAGATCATCTCCTGAACACTTGATCCATATTAACTTTCTTAATCCTCACTACAGTACTATGAGGTAGGTTATTATATCCATTTTACAGATAAGGAAATTAAGGTACAAGGAAATTAAATGACTTGTCCAAAGTCCCATAGCTTTCTAAATTACAGAGCCAGGATTTGAATCCAGGCATTCTGACTACACAGGCTAGGCTCCTAATCACTGAATTTTATAGCAGTACTGATTTTTCACCAGTAGTTTTCAATGAAAGCACAAGGAAAGTACTTTTCCTCATAATGTCATAATAACTTAAGAAGTAAAACTATCTCTGTCTTAATGATAGGAAAAATGATCTGTCTTGAACTTCTACAAAGAATTGGACTTTAATGCATATTTCACAGTATTTCTGCACTTATTCATATGAGTGATAAGAGCCATATATGGATTTTCAGAAGAGGGTTTTTCTTTTGCCTCTTACAGATAGAATGAGAGATTTCCATTAATCTTTCGATACAGACTTAAGAAAAGGAGAGTTGAAAGAAAACTTTACAGGCCATTTATCAACCCCTCGTTTTAAGTTTGTACAATATCCATAAAGCTCTGACTGACTTGCTGTAATCTTTGCACATTATCCCAGTATAATTTGATTTCAAGACAGTTTATTAGATAGTTGATGCTATTGAACCAAAATCGTGGTTTAGTCAAAGAAGTATACCCTCCTAATAATCAGTTATCAGGGAATAACTTGATAAGGGACCCAGAAAGACTGAGGTTTTCCCATGTAGACCCATCACCTCTAAATATTGATTCAAAAAGTATTCACCATAGTGAACAGGTTTTGGCACACCTTTATATGTGAATAATAAACATACTAAGCCTTAGATTTGTTCCATGAAACAATAATAGAGCTAAATACTAATCCTTCGTCCTCACTCCTGTGCGGTAGGTTAACTGTGGAATTGCTGTTTTAATTTAAAAGGAAAACAGTCTTTTGTAGGCTCCATGGATAAAAATTCCTTCTGCAAACCTTATTATTTTGGAGATCAGAAAAAGCTATAGTATGTGGCTTTCAATGGAGGTACTCTTTTTTTTTTTTTTTTTTTTTTTTTTTGAGACGGAGTCTCGCTCTGTCGCCCAGGCTGGAGTGCAGTGGCGGGATCTCGGCTCACTGCAAGCTCCGCCTCCCGGGTTCACGCCATTCTCCTGCCTCAGCCTCCCAAGTAGCTGGGACTACAGGCGCCCGCCACTACGCCCGGCTAATTTTTTTGTATTTTTAGTAGAGACGGGGTTTCACCGTTTTAGCCGGGATGGTCTCGATCTCCTGACCTCGTGATCCGCCCGCCTCGGCCTCCCAAAGTGCTGGGATTACAGGCGTGAGCCACCGCGCCCGGCCTCAATGGAGGTACTCTTATTTTAGTTTCTACTGGAGAGATATTGAGGTATATTATATAATAGACAGTGGGTCTATGTAGACTCATGGAAAAAATAACTAAGATTTTTAGAATTCATTTTTGTTCCTATAGCAGCAAGAGCCTAAAGAAATATCTCTTCTACTTGAGAATACATGAATATGGTCACCTCTTCACATCTAGTTTTTTTTTTTTTTTTTTTTGAGATGAAGTCTCGCTGTGTCACCAGACTGGAGTACATGGCACGATCTTGGCTCACTGCAACCTCTGCCTCCTGGGTTCAAGTGATCCTCCTGCCTCAGCCTCCCACTGGGACTACAGGAGCACACCACCACACCCAGCTAATTTTTTGTATTATTTTTTAGTACAGATGGGGTTTCACCATGTTGGCCAGGCTGGTCTCAAACTCCTGACTTTAGGTGATACACCCACCTCGGCGTCCCAGAGTGCTGGGATTACTGGTGTGAGCCATCGCGCCCGGCCTACATCTAGTCTTATCATTGTTCAAAAAATGATATCATTCATGGCTCTAGTTACATACATAAAACAGAAACTTTTAATATCCCTCTGAAAACTCACTAAATATATAGTACTTAAAATGTTTTTCAGTAATATAGACAGGTTAGCATAATGCCAGGATTCATTACATAATAAGATTGATCACAAGGCATACTTGACGTTACTATTCTTAACCTTAACCTAGGTAGACTGCTGTTACTGAGCACAGTAATTTGGAATCTGTCAGAAATAGGGAAGCAAATTATTGGCATGGGGAGGAATTACTGTGTATCTTTCTTAAAACTGTGATGAGGGTAGAGGGTATAACGTTTTTCTAAACAGAAGAAATACATGATTCATAAAAAGGAAAAAATAATTACGTACATTAGCTATTATGTGGCATGTAAGAAATTGATATTGGCTACTTCCCTGCCTAGTATTTTCTCTGCAGTTCTAAAAAGTCATTGATGACTGTCCCTCTTTGTTTCATTTTGTTTTGTTTTTTTTTTAAGAGTTCAACCTGGTCATTGCTATCATCTGTATAATGGTCTTAGAGCAAGTCTTCTAGATGACTATCAACTGCCAGAAATTTTGAGAACTCCTTTGGAAGAACTTTGTTTACAAATAAAGGTAAATTAGGTGGGAGAATGAAGAAACTAAATGGAAGTGATCTCATTTTCAACATCTTTTGTAGAACAAAGTACTGTATTAATCTCCAAGAAACAATTATTAACTCACAATTTATTTCATGTGTGCATTAGTAAATTGTGTGTTTAAACTTCCTTCAAATGTATATTCAACACTTTTAAATTATATACTGCTCTAGAGGAGGCAGGCTGCCTGTGTTTGAATCCTGCTTCTACCCCGGAAAAGCTAGTTCTGTTATATTGGGCAGGTTGTTTAAATTAACCTCCTAAAATCCTTAGAACAGTGCCTGGCACGTGGTAAGTGTTTAGTAAACAGTAGCTACTGTTATTACATGTTAACATGTTATCCTTCATTATAAACTACTTATTTCAGTATCTTGTGTCTTTTGATATAGTTAGACTTGTTTTGAAGATAGTGAGTAATCAGCTTGTTCACTGAGATTTTAGCCAGCTACTTTTGAAGATAGTGGGTAATCAACTTGTTCATTGAGATTTTAGCCAGCTACTTTTCCTATTAATAGAGTTGATGGTAGAAAGTAGTAATATATATAGGACTTTAAACATGTTTTTATAGAAATACAAATATAATTTTAATTCATTTTGGTAAAATAACTTGAAAGTCATGTATAAATTTGATGCTTTGAGTCATCAGCCCAGGTAGGACTAAGTTGTAATGCTAATATATTAATATTATATGTATTTAATAATATTTGTCTCCCCCACTTAGATTTTAAGGCTAGGTGGAATTGCTTATTTTCTGAGTAGATTAATGGACCCACCATCAAATGAGGCAGTGTTACTCTCCATAAGACACCTGATGGAGCTGGTAAATTTGTTTTCTTGTTTTTTTAATTCTAACTTAGAATACTACAGCATGTAAACCAGTTAATTATAATGTTTACTCTCATTACTGCAAAGTAGACCAATAATGTCCAATGCCAAATTTGATTGGCTATTTGACTATCAATTTAGAACTATCAGGTTATGAGATAGGCATTAGAAAGTTATAAAGTGATATCTTCGTAATAATTCTTAAAAGACTAGGATCTTTTTGCACATTTTTTTTTATTGTAGGCTTGATTTAAGATTACATAAAATTTGAAATTTTTAAGTTACTGGTCTTTAATTACTGGCGAGTAAAACAAATATGCAGCTAAATGATTTATCACAAAGGAAGGACTATGTAGTAATTACTTACATCAAGAAGAACATTCCCAGTATGCTAAAAGCCCCCTTCCTACCCTCTCATAATCACTCCACTGTCCCTTAATCCCAATCATGATAGATAACCTCTATCATGACTTTAACTATAATGGCTTGATTTTTTTTTTTGATGGTTTTTACAAGTATGCATCTTCATAAAGAGTTCAGTTTTGCCTATTTTGTGAACTTTACATGAACCCATACAGAATGTGTGTGGTTTTTTTGTTCTTTGAGGGAGCAGAGCTCTGGATTATTTCACTTAATATTATGAGATTCAAATGTATTGTTGCTTTAGCTATGGTTTTTTTTCTTTTTCCTCTTTTTTTTTTTTTTTTTTTTTTGAGACAGAGTCTCACTTTGTCACCCAGGCTGGAGTATACTGGCATGATCTCAGATCACTGCAACCTCCACGTCCTGGGTTATAAGGTACATGTATGATCAAGTTGGGTAGATAACGCCCAACAGTTTTCCATGGTTGCAAACCACTTAAACTCCTACCAGTGGTGGATGAGAGTTCCCATTGCTTTGTAGCTTCACCAACCTTTCTTATTAATTGGCCTTTTATTCTAACCATGCTGGTAGGTATGTAGTGGTTTTAATTTGCATTTCTATGACTGTCATTGAAGTTTTCAGCAGCTTTTATGTTTATTATCCATTTGTGTAGTCTCTCATAAATTGCTAGTGTCTTCTGTTAGGTTGCAGATCATACAGTCCTTTTGTACTCTTGATCTGCGCTTTTTATTGGTTGTATATTGCATATCTGTTTTCAACTTTCCTTTTTTTAATACCTTGATAAATTCCTTATTTTATTTTATTTTATTTTATTTTTGGAGAGAGTCTCACTCTGTCACGCAGGTTGGATGGAGTGCAGTGGCATGATCTCGGCTCACTGCAGCCTGCAACCTCCACCTCCCAGATTCAAGCGATTCTCCTGCCTCAGCCTCCTGCTGGGATTACAGGCACCTGCCACCATGTCTGGCTAATTTTTGTATTTTTCGTAGAGATGGGGTTTCACCATGTTGACCAGGCTGGTCTGGAACTCCTGACCTCAAGTGATCCGCACACCTCAGCCTCCCAAAGTGCTGGGATCATAGGCATGAGCCACCACTCCCAGTCTAAATTCCTAATTTTAATGCAGTAAGATGTATCATTCTCAAAGGTTATTGCTTTTTACACTTTAATAAGTCTTTTCCTGAGGTCATAAAGATACATTTAAAAAAAATTTACTGTTTTGTTTATAATGCATCTGCAGTTGATGTGTGTTGGGGTTGAGGTAGAAATAAAAGTTTTTATAAATAAATGTAGAGCATTGACTGAGCACCATTTATAGAAAAGTTCATCTCTTTTTGTCCTTGTTCTGCAGTCTTTGATAGGTCAATGTCTGTGGATTTGTGTGTCTGTTTCTAGGCTTATTTCTCATCTGTTGGCCTGTATTTCTCTCCTGAGCTGGTATCACATTGCCTTAATTACTCTAGCTTTATGATAAATCTTGTTTTCTAGTGGAACAAATCACTCCCTTTCATTCTTCTTCAAAAACGTCTTGACTCTAGAGACTGAGGTGGGAGGACTGCTTGAGCCCAGGAGTTTGAGGGACACAGTGAGCTGTGCTTGCACCACTGCACTCCAACCCAGATGACAGAACAAGACCCTATCTCTTAAAAAAAAAATAATAATAGTAAATTTTTTTAAAACAGAGTGTCTTGGTCCTTCTTGGTGATTTGTTTTTCCAAATACATTTGAGAATCTTTGGAGTTTGATTTTGATTGAATTCCATCTATAAATCAGTTTGGGGAGAACTGACATCTTTACAGTATTGAGTCTTAGCAAAAAGATCATCATCTATTCCTCTGTTTATTTGGGTATTCAGTCTCAGTATTTTAGAGTTTTCTTTGGGGTTTTATATGTCTTTATTTAGATTTTTTAAAATTTAGATTTCAAATATTTAAAAGCAGAATCCAAAAATACCACTAATCTTCTAGGTTAGTGGTATTTTTGGATTCTGCTTTTAAATATTTCATCATCTTTCGAGTCTGATAATACAGAAATAAAGTTGCTTTTTGAATGATTGTATTCATTAATGCTGTAAAGTCCCCTTATTCAAATAACTTCATGTAGATTTTTTTCTGCATATATTATCACATCTTTAAATAATTAGAGTTTTATTTATTCTTTTTTAAGTTTCTGGGACCCTTAATACAATGTTGAGCAGAAGTGATATGATAGTGTGCCTTCTTGTCTTATTCTTCTTAAAGGAGAAGCTATCAGCAAATCATTGAGAGTAAAGTGTTTGTTGGTGTTTTTTTTTTTTTTTTTTTTTTTTTTGGTGTGTGGAAGCTCTTATTACGTTAAGTTTACTAAGACATTTTTATCTTGTATGGATAATCAGTTTTATCAAATATCTTCTGCTTCTGATGAGATTATGGTATGACTATTTTAGTTGGTTCATGTATTCAGTTAAACTGATGTTTCAAATATTAAACAAATTTTTCTTTTTAGAGTAAACCTAACTTGCCAGCATTCAATTTGCCATTATTTTGTTTTGTGATTTTCATATGTAAGTTTATTTAGTTTTCTTCAGATGTCCTTGTAAGATTTAGATATCAAGCTATTCTAGGTTCAGAAAACAAGTTGAGGGTTTTACATTTCTTTTATTTGAAAGAGGTCTTTTAAAAAAAAAAAAATTAAGTGTATTTTCTCCAAAACTGTTTAGTAAAAATCTGTGTCTGATGGGATGCTTATGGGTTCTTTTATTATTATTTCTTGTTTGCATCTATATGCCTAGTTATTTTAATTGTGCACTGGAAATTCTGTTTACAAAATTCTTTATAGATAAAAATTTGAAGCTTGGGATGAGGGTAGCTTTTTTTCAGCAAGGTTTTATGTTCCTTTCTGCCAGGAAAAGAGGCCCCAACCTCTGCACTCACCTCCCCTAGATGTCTCTCATTCCCTAACCTCTTGATTTACAATTCTTTGTTAACTCCTTGTATCTTCAGGCTACTTTTCTAGCTGTCCACAGTGGGGTGGTTGGACCAGATGACCTAGGGAATCAGAGCAGAAGTCACTCCCATTTTCTGTGGTTTTAGATAGTTCCTTTTTCTTTTGCTTTTCTGTCTCGCGTCACCTAAACTACTAGAATCTAGAGAGTGTGCATTATGTATTCCAGATGTATAATAGTGTATCTTTTGTTTTTGTTGTTTGTTTCTACAACTTTTATACTTTATTAGGTGACTTTATTTAACAGAAAGTTTGTCATTTCTGGTATTTCTCTCAACACAGAAAAGCCAAGTTGTGTGTTAATTTTGGTTATGTTTAAATAAGTTTGTAACCTTTGCTGACCTCACAACTTATGTTTTGGTAGGGAAAACTAAAGCTGAACAATATTTGGGCATTTGGACTTAGAAGAGAGAGTAGTGGCTTGTTACTCTTTTTAAAGCAAGCTAAAATCGTTTTAAATGTAATGCTTTACAGGATCTATTTTAAACACACACTCTTCCTTTACAGAACGCTTTGGATAAACAAGAAGAATTGACACCTCTTGGAGTCCACTTGGCACGATTACCCGTTGAGCCACATATTGGAAAAATGATTCTTTTTGGAGCACTGTTCTGCTGCTTAGACCCAGTACTCACTATTGCTGCTAGTCTCAGTTTCAAAGATCCATTTGTCATTCCACTGGTAAGAAAAATGGAAATAAAACCGAGTTATTTTAGATGTGAACAGGAGTTGCTTAGATATATTTTTCATTAGCGTTTTATTAGAATGTCATTCTCCATTATAGCATCAGAGCAATTTAAATTGGCTATGTCTGCTATTTTTAAGGGAAAAGAAAAGATTGCAGATGCAAGAAGAAAGGAATTGGCAAAGGATACTAGAAGTGATCACTTAACAGTTGTGAATGCGTTTGAGGTAAAAAAAAAAAATTTTGTCCTGGATTATGATAGTTTATTCAAATGAAATGCTAATAATAGAATAAGGATCATATTTAACCTTTTGAAATCTCTGTTATAAGGCCGGGCGCGGTGGCTCATGCCTGTAATCATAGCACTTTGGGAGGCTGAGGCAGGTGTATCACCTGAAGTCAGGAGTTTGAGACCAGGCTGGCCAACATGGCGAAACCCTGTCTCTACTACAAATACAAAAATTAGCTGTGTGTGGTGGTGGGCATTTGTAATCCCAGCTACTCAGGAGGCTGAGGCAGGAGAATTGCTTGAACTCCGGGGCGCGGTGGTTGCAGTGAGCTGAAATCATGCCACTGCACTTCAGCCTGGGCGATGGAGTGAGACTCAATCTCAAAAAAACCAAAAAACCAAAATCTATATTATCATAGGTATCAGGAGTAAATTACTGAGAATGTTGAAATTTAGCTGAACATTTGAAAAAAGTTATAATTCATTTTTAATTTTGTAATAGTTCATTACATTTACCGTTTTGGGGAAATAATAGTTTTTGGTAAGAATGAACAAGTGAATAGTTTATTTTAAAATTTTGTATTTAATAATTTCTTTGTATCTTTGGCTTATTAACGCTAATGACAGTCTCTTTCTATTCATTAATAAACTACCCTGTATTCAGATTTAACATGTAATAGAGGATCATAATCATGTACATAATTCAGATTAAAGAGACATTTTCTGCTCCCAAAAGCCACGTGTATCTGAGGGTAAACATTTATCACCTATCTTGGTAAAATTTAAATGTAATTTGGTTTTTAGAGGCAGTATCTTTTTTCTGTGGCTCTACATTCTGTTTCATGTGACATATTATGGGAAAGTTCATGTTTTTTTGTCTTTGAGCTTATTCAGCTTGTCTTTCCTTTTTCCCCATTTCCCTCCTCTTAAAAAAAAAAGCAAACTATAAAGAAAATCTGTGAATTTGAAAATATATAATAGCATTTAAGTCAGTTTAATAGTGTGTTCTTTTTGATTAGTGTATTATGTACAGTTTGGATGCCATTTTGTGTAAAATACATAATTAATATATTACTATATACTTAATTGTATAAAGGTCTGGAACTTCAGTGGTGGTTGTCTCTTAAGGACTAGGATCATGGGGAGTGTATGTGTTTTTAGTTTTATCAGTTATAAAATTCTTTGAATTTTTTACAAAGAAAATTAAATATTAGTAGAATATTAAGCTTTTACTAAAGTAAAGAGGGAAACCAGTAGTAATCTTTGTTTGCGGGAGAAATATAGATTTCTTCATTTCTTTGCCCCATAGGGCTGGGAAGAGGCTAGGCGACGTGGTTTCAGATACGAAAAGGACTATTGCTGGGAATATTTTCTGTCTTCAAACACACTGCAGGTAATGGTGAATGTTTTGCAGTAATTATCATATATGCTAGATTAGAGAATATATACATCCATTTTGTACAATTAGATCTATAGCAAAAAAGTCAAATATATGGAAATTGAGTATATTTGTATATATACACAAAGTAATGGGGGATCTTTCTGAAATCAACTGCAACAAAACAAGGAAAAGAAACATGGTTCCAGAGGATAAGAGCAAGGCACAGTAGGGTTCGATTTCTGTTCCTGTCCCCACATTCTAGTTGCTATTTTGATGATTCAAACTGAGAATTTTTGCTAACACTACTAAAATCTGTTGAAAAGTATCAAATAGGATAGATATCTGTAAGTTTTCTGGTTTAGTATAGTGAAACACCACAGGCAAGCATTTGTAAAACAGAAGAAAACAGTAAAGAGGGCATATGCCATCACATTTCAGACTACACTGAACTGGGTATTCGAAGCCAGTGAGAATAGAAATATCCTCATCTTCTCCCAGTACACATACACTCCAGCTATGTGACATGAGGCCTGATACTGGACATTTAACAGATCTACAAATTAGTAAACAAAAAAATCTAACATACCAAATCAGAAGTGCCCAGTCATTAGCAAAATGGAAAAAAAGGATCACCACAATTCGGAAGGAAAGGAAAAGAAAAAAAAAAGAGTGGAATGCCATGTTTCAGTAGAAAACACCTTTAAACTGTTTCATAATATGGAATAGCTAATAAGAATATGAATTCAGCAAAACATAGGTTAGAAAATAAACAGTAGAGTGAATGAAAAGACACCTGAGCTAAGAAAACAAATTGAAGATCAAAAGAAATCACAAGGAACAGAATGGACACCCCTTAAAAACAAGTTATTGCCATAGGAAAAAAGCTTGAAGTAATCACAGTTTATGGAGGTACCTGAAAAAGACAAAAATTAAAGCAATAAGTAAAATCTTAAAGACAGGAAGACAGGACTCATCCATTATGAGAACAGTAGACATTAGTGTCTGCATACAAATCCTGTGTAATTGAACGTTTATTTTGAGATGTATGTAAGAACACGTTTTGAAATGGAAATAATGAAATGAACAGAGAAGTGAACAGAAGCATGAAAACATAACTGAATCCAAGTGTTTGAGAATGTCATGTCCAGTCAGGATATGAATTCAGGTGTAAAGAAAAACAACAGGCATTCAAGAAATACTGTACCCCTGAGCTCTTCTTGAAAAGCCCATTGACGGTGAAATGCTGTTAGTTAAAAGGGGAATCACAGTGGAGATTTCAGGAATGGAGAGTGCATGCTTAATCAGCTGGTGTATATACATTAGAAGTATTTAAATATAGAGCTAATAACAAAATGGTGTTAGGAATTACACATGCAAAATAGAATGTAAAGATTATTATCCTGAACAGTATAAAATAATGGCAGTAAAAACCAGGAGGTGTCTAAGAAAGTCAGGTGTCAGAAAAATTAGGTGGGGAAAGTCACACCTTTCATAAAAGGGATATATACTTAAATATAACCAACTTTATGTTTCATAATCTCTAAAAGGAATTCCTTAGGAAATATTTCTGTTATGAAAATACAAGATTCATCTGGTCATTCACTTTCCTTTCTATTTAACTTTTCTTTAAATTGTACTAAAGTTAATTGTTTTATAAAGAATTTCTATACTATGATTCTGTTATTAGGATGCATTTCTTCTATCAGTATATATACTTAATGGGTGTCTGCAATCTTATTTATTTAGAAGACTGAGTATTGAGGCAAGGGAAGTACTTTTCTATGTTACTTGAATGCTTTGTAATAAGCCATGTATCATTATTTAAAAAAAAAACAAAACCTTAAGCTTACCTGCCATTTTTAACCATATTTAATTCTCAGTAATAGAAATATGGATGTGGATTATTTTCTTTATGCTTTTCTATATTTTTTAAAAAATGGGGGTGGAAAGTAATTTTAAAAATTCTATTAGTCTTTCACAAAATAGAGTAATCCTTAAACATCAGTGGCTATTCCTTACAACATGCAAACTTTTTCTGTGAAAAGTCGGGTAATATTTTAGGCTTACAGGCCATAAGATCTCAGTTACAAGCATTGACCTCTGCCATTGTAGTGCAAAAACAACCAAATGTAGATGAATGGGTGTGGCTGTGTTCCAATAAAATGTTATTGACAAAAACAGCTTTTGTAGTTTGCCAACCCTTGCTTTAAAACATGTTTGCTAAAGTGTTTTCATAAAGCAGGGATAGCTTACAACTCAATTTATCTATTAGTGTATGGTTTATAGCCTCAATGTGTGAAAGGTATTCTAGTTCTATTTGTTACCATTGCTCCCTAGATGCTGCATAACATGAAAGGACAGTTTGCTGAGCATCTTCTTGGAGCTGGATTTGTAAGCAGTAGAAATCCTAAAGATCCAGAATCTAATATAAATTCAGGTACAGCAGGAAACACAGTGTAAATAAGTATCTTTTGTCTATTGTATCAGTATTTTACTTTTCTTTTCCCCTCTACCTTCTCACCCCCCATAGATAATGAGAAGATAATTAAAGCTGTCATCTGTGCTGGTTTATATCCCAAAGTTGCTAAAATTCGACTAAATTTGGGTAAAAAAAGAAAAATGTAAGCATTGAAGATTATTATTAATTACTCGTAATTCTCTTCTTAAACTTTTGAAATCTGCTCATGTAACAAGGCTTATATTATAAATTTGTTCTTATTCATATGTGGGTTATATTCTTGTTCTTTTAATCATTTCAGAGAAGGTGAACTGTTTAGCCATTGGTATCACTTTCCCTCACAACACATCCTGGAATCACCTCTTTGATAACCCATTATTCACAAAGAATGCTACCACATGATACCAGTGTAAATATTAGAAGAGCCAGCCTGCTAGTAAATACCAGTGGCTGGATAAAAATTGCTTAGAGTAGATTTTATTTCAGAAACTTTTTTCCTCTTGCCTTATAAATGGATAACTTAGCTCTTTGAATAACATTGTGATTTCACTATTTTGAGAAATAAAGTGTAATAATATATTTACAGGTAGCCTCAGTAGTAATTGGAGACAACAGTGAAGCATGAGCTAGAATGAGCTCATTCTAGCTAAAGGATACAGAGAAACTAAGAGTCACAAATGGCCAGTAGTGTGGTTGCTGCTATTTTGGAAGACACTCTGTATTAGAATTATGATTGAATCATTAAAATAGTCAGTGACCCAGTGCATGAGTTTTTAATTTGATAGATGTGTCTTAAGGAAGTAATTTCAAATGTTTTCTAACAGCTATATTGTAAATAATATAGATTTCTAGTAGCCATGGGAAAATTGTGGTTTTATAATACTGTAATGCATCTCCATAGGTGGGCATTAAAACAGTCATTGTGTAGTAACATGTAAAGTATTTAAACTGATGTTAAATGAAAGTTGGATATTCTAGAATTATAAACATGAAAAAATAAAGACTTTAAAGATAGGCCAAAGTGCAGACATTGTTCTTGGGCAGTGGTTCTCAACTGGCATGATTTTGCCCCCAAAGGGGACATTGGAAAGTGTCTGGAGATACTTGTGGTTGTCATAACAGTGTGTCAGTAGTACTAAAGTCAAGAAACCCTATTCCAAGGTATAAAGTAATGGGTAGCTGATGAATTTTAATCATTGTGGTTGGATTATTCACATTTTAAGTGACCTAAGTACTTTTTCAAAATAATACTTGGCCAGAAATTTTTTTGTATGTGTGTACCTAACTTTACAGGTAGCTTAACAGTGAGTCACTTTGAAATTCATTTTATTTTCCTCTCTGCCATCCTGGGAGGGCTTTCTGAAAAAATGTAGTTTTCTTTGGACTGGTGCATTGTTTTGGTCCAGACTAGGGGTCAGCAAATTTTGACCTATAGGCCAAAAACTTGTTTTTGTCCTTTTTTTGTTGGAACACAAACATGTTGTTTTCATGTTGTCTATTCTGCTTTCCTTCTACACTAGCAGAGTTGGACAGAAATTATAGAGCCCCAAATATAGACCCTAAAATATTTACTCTCTGGTCCTGTATAGAAATTTGCTGGGCCAGGCACAGTGGCTCACACCTGTAATCCTAGCACTTTGGTTGGCTGAGGCTGTTAGATTACTTGAGCCCAGGAGGTGGAGGTTGCAGTGAGTCAAGATCACACCACTGCACGTTGAGAGATCATGCTACTGCAGTCCAGCCTGGGTGACAGAACGAGACCCTGTCTCAAAAAAAAGAAAAAAGAAATTTGTGAAGTTCTACTGCTCTAGTTATGCAGGGTGGCAGGATGGCATTGGTAAATTGACTTGAAGTGAGAAAAAATAATTTCTGGTTTTATTCTAAGTATTTAAAACTGTAAATTCATAACCATGATTCATGATTTTGATTACAAGTCTTATGAATTCTTAGAACTTCAGAAGTGGCCGGGTGTGGTGGCTCACACCTGTAATCCTGGCACTTTGGGAGGCCAAGGTAGGCGGACCACCTGAGGTCAGAAGTTTGAGACCAGCCTGGCCATCGTGGTGAAACCCCATCTCTACTAAGAATACAAAAACTAATTGGGTATGGTGGTGGCACATGCCTGTAATCCCAGCTACCCAGGAGGCTGAGGCAGGAGAATCGCCGGAACCCGGGAGGCGGAGGCTGCAGTGAGCTGAGATTGGGCCACTGCACTCCAGTCTGGGTGACAGAGCAAGACTCCGTCTCAAAAAAAAAAAAAAAAACTTCGAAAGAGACACTCGTAAAAACAAATAGGAAAGATTAGTGGATTATTAGCTTTTATGCTGTTAGTTAATACAGGTAATTAACATTAACTATTTAAAAATAAATTATTAAACATCTCCCTGTTGAATAATACTAAAGACTTTTACAAATTGAGATAAAATGTGTATGACTATCAAAAAAAAAATGACCTAGGAATTGAGAGATTGAATTAGAACTGTCAACATGAATTTAAACAGAATTCTTAACTTTTCATTTTTTATTCATCTGGGTCATACTCTGTAAAATTTTTAAGTTGATAATTTTACAGTTATTTTGTAAATCAAGGGCTGTTTATCAGTATTATGATTGTCATAGTAAAATGTATAAACTCTTGGTATGAATCACTTAATTATTTTAGGTACTTTTTTGTTATTTATTCTTCAGTGGTATAGTGTGCATTAACATTAAGGAAAAGAATATTCTGCCATTTTTCTAAAATGTTGAGTAATTATACCTGCAAGAAGAAGATTAGTTACATGATTTAAATTATTCATACTGATAGCATTTTTTCATATATTTTTAAGGAAATTATGCTCTGTCCTCAAATATAAATATATTTTTTTGCAAAAATAAACTGAATTATTCTCTGGAATTTTTTTAGATTCCGGGATTTGTTTGGTTTTTACCAAGCTCTTCTATCAGTTTTTCAAGTAGTGTAAAAAAAGAAAATCCTCTAGAAGACTTCTTTTTAACAAACTGCATTTTAACTTTTTTTAAAGGGTAAAAGTTTACACAAAAACCGATGGCCTGGTTGCTGTTCATCCTAAATCTGTTAATGTGGAGCAAACAGACTTTCACTACAACTGGCTTATCTATCACCTAAAGATGAGAACAAGCAGTGTAAGTGAACATTTAAAATAATTAAGGATCTGATTATCAGTCTCATTGTATTTTTATGATTGTGTAGTTTTAACAATTATATACAAAATTTTTTTTTTGTTGTGTCTTATTCCTGTGACGTGAGTAACTTTTTCCCTCTAACAAATAACCTATTCTTTTAATTTTCAGGTCTGTAATGATGGATCTTTGTATTTTAATTAGTTAGGACAGTTATTTGATTGCATAATTTTCTTTCAGAACTTGCTTTCAAGAAATATTGGCATATTTTATGGTGTACAGGAGTTTACATTGTATAGAAAGTTTTGTTAGCATGTCAGTATACCTTATAAGTATTGTTCAGCATGTTGAGATTCTGTTTATTTATATTTTTCTCTTTAGAACAGTAATTTGAGATGATTTATAAAAAACTGGATAAAAATAACTTCGGCAACATTAGTGTTTTGCTTTTGTCACTCAGAAAATATTTTGTTCAGAGTAGTGCTTAGTTTAAACTAAAAAATATTAAAATACCTATGTTCTCTGAATAATGAAGATGGCTCATTTAAAATGGTATTTCTTACAAATCTCTGTAATTACAATAGAAGGTTAATATTTTAGAAGGAAGATACTCATTAATTAATACTGGTAATATTGTTGAATTTATATAGTAATCTTTTCAGACTCCTGAATGTATTAATTCACTTTAATTTTCATTACAGATATACTTGTATGACTGCACAGAGGTTTCCCCATACTGTCTCTTGTTTTTTGGAGGTGACATTTCCATCCAGAAGGATAACGATCAGGAAACTATTGCTGTAGATGAGTGGATTGTATTTCAGTCTCCAGCAAGAATTGCCCATCTTGTTAAGGTGACTGACTTTATGTGATTATCTTAAATCTACATGTAAGTCAGCATGTGGTCATGTGGTTTTGTTCTAACTGTTAAATAGATTAACATTTCTTGCTCTATTTCAGCAGAGCAAATAATTTTGAAAAAATGATTCCTGGTTTTTCTGAATTGTGTTTTGAGGTGGTAACAGACCAGCCATTCTAAATGGCTCAGTGTGATTGCAGTGTGAATTTTAACTGCACTTTAGTTATTCACTCATAACCACACTTTAGTTGATTGCTCACTAAATGTTTTAGCTTTTGAGCCATCGCTTGTGAAACTCCTTGTATCAGGTAAATTAGTTTCATTTATTATGTTATTTGGTAATATATCTGCCTTTGTTGAACATGTATAATTTTTCCAACCTTAGGAATTAAGAAAGGAACTAGATATTCTTCTGCAAGAGAAGATTGAAAGTCCTCATCCTGTAGACTGGAATGACACTAAATCCAGAGACTGTGCAGTACTGTCAGCTATTATAGACTTGATCAAAACACAGGAAAAGGCAACTCCCAGGAACTTTCCGCCACGATTCCAGGATGGATATTACAGCTGACAGCTTTTCAGGGGTGGTCTGAAAAGCCAGTTTGACAGCCATTCTTCATCATTGTTTAAATTTTGGCTGGATGCCAAACCCTGGGACATGAACAATTTTCATGTGTAAGGTAGAAGCCTTCAGTAGGTAGTAAAGACTTAATGTGCATGACTTGATGTTATATGTAGAGATATATATATATATATATATATACCATAAAAGCAATATGTTCTCTGATCATATACTCTGCTGTGGTCATGCCCACTCTTTGGGAGTATATTCCCTTTATATATATTGAGTATTGTACCACTTGAGAAATTCCTTTGTTCTGTTATACAAAATTAATCTTTCTGCTCATAATGATTGATGATACCACCAGTAAAAATAGGATGTTTACCCCAAAACAAGTGTCAATTAAGAATTTGAACACAACCACATTTTTTAAAATGAAACTTCTATCGGAAGTAAATTAATTTGTTGTAATAAAGTCCAGTATTTAATAAAATGTACAATGTTAAATCTCAGCCAACCTCTTGGATTGGTTTCTACATTTTCACCTATGGCTTGGTTCATTTGATATTTTTACTATTTTTAAAACACGTGCCCTTTTTATATCACCCTGTGCCTCATAATACAGCAATTGAGAGCACGGTCTGGAGCCTGATTACCTCAGTTCCAGTCTCAGCTCTGTCAGTTAGTCAGTGTCTTGGCTTCTCTCCTTTTTCCTTATCTTGTAAGATACAGTTGGCCCTTCATATCCATGCATTCCACATCTGTGGATTCAAACAACTGTGGATAGAAGATATTTGGGGAAAAAAAGGATGGTTGTGTCTATACTGAACATGTGCAGACTTTTTTCCTTGTCATTCCCTAAACAATACAGTTTAACAGCTATTTATATAGTATTTACATTGTATTAGGTATTATAAATAATCTAGAGATGACTTAAAGAATATGGGAGGTTGTGCCTAGGTAACATGCAAATACTACGCCATTTTATTATAAAAGACTTGAGCATCCATGGATTTAGGTATTTGAGGGGTTGGGGTTGGAAACCAGTCCCCCACAGATACTGAGGGACAACTGTACATGTAACAGTTGTGAGGATGAAGTACATTAATACATGTAAAGCACATAGGCTAGTGCCTGTACTCTCTGAATCTTAGTTGTTATTTGTCCCTGAAATATTTTCGTAAATGTCTAACAATCTATTATATTACACTTTTTATTTTATTGCTACTTATCTTCTTCGCCAAGGAATAGTGTAACAACACATGCTGTACATTTTCAGCCCTATCAGATTGTGATAAATACTGTTGGTTGCCGGCCAGCAACTATTTTGTCCCTCCCTTCTTGCTTGCTTATTCTGGTGTTCCCTTCTGTGCAGCTCTGTGTCCAGGTATGTTGGACCCTTTCCCTAAGGGTGAATCCTGCTGTTCTAAATGAATCACATGTGGTCTTATCCCCCTTATAAGTAATTGATAAGGCATGAGTACATAAACATGTCCTAGTGAATGGCAGCTGAGAAGTGATCTTCAAGGGGGTGTCTGAAAAATGTTTTACTCACTAATAGGCTTAGAGGAGGAAATCCTGCTCTCTCTGGACATTGTCTTTTCTGACTCTGATAGTTGGAACTGCTGCAGCCAACTAATGATCACAAGGAGACACGGACTCAGACTGAGGTTAGCTCAGTGGAAAGATAGAACTCACCAGAGCCTTTGATAATGCCGGTAAGCTTCAGAATTAACCCATTCTAGAGCTGCTTTACATGTGGACTTATGTTGATATAATAAAAACCCTTCAATTGTTTAAGCCACTTTTAATAGGATATTGTTAGTTTTTTGTTGGTTTTTTGTTTTGTTTTGTTTTGTTTTTTGTTTTTTGGAGACAGTGTCTTGCCCTGTCACCCAGGCTGGAGTGCAGTGGTGTGATCTTGGTTCACTGCAGCCTCGACTTCCTGGGTTCAAGTGATCCTTCTGCCTCAGCCTCCCAAATAGCTGGGACTATAGGCATGCATCACCACACCCAGCTAATTTCTGTATTTTTTGTAGAGACACCGTTTCACCATGTTGCCCAGGCTGGTCTCAAAACTCCTGTGCTCAAGCAGTCTGCCCGCCTTGGCTTCCCAAAGTGCTGACATTACAGGTATGAGCCACTGCACCCGGTCCCTAGTAGGGTATTTTTAACTTGGCAAAAAGGGTATTAATCAGAAACATACACTATCCATCACTGAGTATTATACTCTTGATTTTGCAATGTAAGAGTTTTAACCTATTTGTCTGACAGAAGGTGTAAAAGTGCTGGACATGCTGCAGAAAGAAACAGGAAAAGCATCTTGCTGCACTCCAAAGAATGCAAATTTTAATGTGCCTTCCAATAAATGCAAGGAAACCGAAAGAGTTAATAGTATCATACAATGACTGGGATGTATTGATAATGCTACAGTGATCCATTAACAGCACTTGTTCAGGTACTGCTCCCAATCCTGGGAATGTGTGTTACCTGTTATGTCTCAAATCCTTTATCTTGGCTGTTCTTCTAAAAGTGATCTGTCTGTCATTGAATGCTGGCATTAGAGTCATGTCACAATATTAGAGCATACTGGTTTTGCCTCTAACGTCGAGGTGACCATCTGGTCTTTCTTGCTCTGTAAGAGTTTCTGTTTGTGCTTTTTTTTCCCTTACTTTTATTATCCAGTTTAAATCCAGTCAGTTGGCCAAAATGGTCTTGGAAGAAAGGATTTAGAGATTCTGTAAAAAAGATTATTAGTTGGTTCTGTGTTTGCAAACCAGTATGTAATTCCCATATGAATGGGGAAAATGTTCCTGAGGAATTATTTAATTGATGAGGCATTCACAGAGATTAAAGCAGTTATTGTTACCTCCAATTTATGTCTTCTGCACAGCTGATTAGGTTGGACATTTTAATCCAAGGTGCTACTTACATTCTGTTTCTTTTGTTTACAAAATAGGGCATTACTGAGTAGAAAATACATTCCAGGTCTAAGAACTGTTTGTTCTTTAGTGGATTTTAAAGAATAAGACATTAAATTAAGAAGGAAAATCTGTTTGATTCATCATTTTGAGTAATGCAGAGAATAACTCTTAAAAAAAAAACCTGAAACAGAAACTTTCAGGAAAAAAACAAAAGAAATTAAACTACTGAATAATCTTTCAAAAGCATCGTTGAACAGTGAGCACATGTGATGCCTTCCCAATTAATTAATTTGGGCAAAAGCTCTAGATAAACTTACACCAATTGTTGCAAGGCATTCTCTATTACTGCATTTTTAAAACAAAGTCCTCCCCTAAAAGTTATGAATTATACAAAAGCTTTAGGAGGAATTTTAGTACTCCTTTACCCAAAATAAATAGTGGTAAATTTCCTTCTGTTCTTAGCTCTGAGTTTGTATTTATTTATAAGTCATTGTGATCATGTATACTTATATATTTTTAATATGCTAATTGCTTTTAAATGGGATTTTTGTTCTGATTTTAAAATAATACATCCTCCCTGGACAATATTTGGAAATGTAGCAAAGTAAATCATGTTACCATTGTTCCATTTTGATATATATAAACTTTAGGTATTATTTTATATATAATAAATTTTAAGATATTATATACAATAAAATTAACCAATTTAAGTATATGATTCAGTGAATTTTGTCAAACATATAGTAGTGTAATTACCACCACCACAATCTTGATACAGAACTTTTTTTTCCCCAGAGATGGAGTTTCGCACTGTCACCCAGGCTGGAATGCAATGGCGCAATCTCGGCTCACTGCAACCTTCGTCTGCCCGGGTTCAAGCAATTCTCTGGCCTCAGCCTCCTGAGTAGCTGGGATTACAGGCACGCGCCGCCATGCCCGGCTAACTTTTGTATTTTTAGTAGAGATGGGGTTTCACCATGTTGGCCAGGCTGGTCTCGAACTCCTGACCTCATGATCCACCTGCCTCGGCCTCCCAAAGTGCTGGGATTACAGGCGTGAACCACCACACCCAGCTGATATAGAACATTTGTATCACCTAAAAATTTCCCTTTTACCCCTTTGTAGTCAATCCCTCACCCCCACTTCTATCCCCTCGAAACCCATTGATCTGCGTTTTGTCACTTTTCGTTTTGCCTTTTCTAGAATTTCAAATAACCAGTCTTTTGTGTCCAGCTTCTTTCACTTAATGTAATACTTTTGAGATACTGATATTGTTACATGTATTAGTAGGTAGTTCCTGTTTTATCTTCTATTCAGTAGTATTTGCATTGTATAGTTATACCACAGTTTGTTAATTCATTTACCAGTTGATGGACATTTGAGTTGTTTTCAGTTTTTTTGCTGTTATGAATAAAGCTGCTATGAACATATGTATATAAGTCTTTGTGTGGTTATATGTTTTCATTTGTCTTGGGTAAATACCTAAGATTAAGGTTGTTGTATTATAGTAAGTGTGTTTGTATAAGAAACTGCTAAACTGTTTTCAGAATTTGCTGAAATTTTACATTCCCAACAGCAATGTGTGTTGGGGGGGTCAGAGTATTCCACATCCTTGCCAGTACTTGGTATTTTTAGCTGTCGTTTTAATTTTAGCCTTTAGTGGATGAGGAGTCCTGTCCCATTATGGTTTAATTTTTGTTTCTAAAATGATTAATGATGAGCATCTTTTCATGTTGTTTGCTTTTTCCTTAGTTATCTTATGTATTTCTGTTTGGGTTTTGATTTTTCATCTCATGTCAAATGATTGGAGTTTTAAGGATATATCTGACTACGGAGAAGGAAGATTACTAATTAATTTTAGAGATACAAAAAGTTGTTATTTACATTCCTTGAGATTTATAATGGCCAGATGTGTTACTCTTGACTTGGTTGGTAAAGTGTAAAGAGTTAAGCCAGTGTTATTAAGTGCCAGGAGAGACTAGCACCAGTTTTATATAGTTATGAAGGCAAGAGGTGTATTCATCATGAGGTGAAGAATGGGACATAAGAAAAAATATTTATTAGTATTGGGAAAGTCATTGGAGATAAGGAAAACAGCTGATATGGAAGCACTGTAGAGGCGATCTACTGTGGATGATAGAGAACTTTTAAATTGTGACTACCTTTTTTTTTCTGGTTCTTAAATTTGATTCATATCTTAATGGTCTGGTATAAATTTTTGAGTTGTATTTTTCTATTTCTGAGTCCTTATGTAGTATATTATGTTACCTTTACACAGTGAACATCATGGTTGGGAATAAAATTAACTTTAGCAAAGCTTTAATTTAATGAAAAAGTGATTCCTTGGTGACTTTTATCTTTTAGGCCCTTTTAAATATTTCAATACTTAATCTTTCCCATAGCTTCCATTCACCTCACTTTTCTCTTAATGGCTGTTTCTCCTGTTAAATGAGAGAGTTTGATTATTTTTACTTGTTCTGGAAGCCAATTTTTTTCTTGTTTATTCAAGCAAAGGCAAAACAGACCTATCTCTAACGTTTTTGTGGTGTCTGAAGTAAGAATATAAATGGAAGCCAACATACTAGATCTCTAAATATTTTAAAATTTTAAATTAGTTTAACAAACTTAAATAAAACGTCCTTTTAGCCAGGTGTGGTGGCTCATTCCTGTAATCCCAGCCGTTTGGAAGGCCAAGGTGGGTGGATCATTTGAGCCCATGAATTCAAGACCAGCCTGGGCAACATGGTGAAACCCTGTCTTTACAAAAATTACAAAAATGAGCCAGGCATGGTGGCATGTGCCTGTAGTCTCAGCTACTCAGGAGGCTGAGATGGAAGGATTGCTTAAGCCTGGGAGGTCAGGGCTGCAGTGAGCCACTGCACTCCAGTCTGGGCAGCAGAGCAAGACCCTGTCTCAAAAAACTCCTTTTGACAGATACACATTAATAATGACAAAATAAAAAATGGCATAAAACAATATTGAAGATGACTTTTAGCCATAGTTTCTTATTTTTTCGAAATATTCTTTTTTGCATCAATTGGCACAGTAACCATATGTTTTTTTCTTTAGCTTGTTAATATTGTAGATTGCTGTCTTAGTCATTTTCTGTTGCTGTAACAGAATATCAAAGACTGGGTAATTTATAAAGAAAACACATTTTTTTCTTACAGTTCTTAAGTCCAAGACCAAGGTATCAGCATCTGGTGAAGGCCTTCTTGCTGTGTCACAAATGGGGACATCACATGGCTAGAGGGCAAGAGTGTGTGTCATCTCAAGTCTCTTATAAAGCCACCAGTCCCATCATGGAGGCTTCACCCTGATTAACTTAGCTAAGCTTAAAATTACCTCACAGAGGGCCCACCTCCAATCAACATATGAATTTGGGGATTAAGTTTCCAATGCATGAAATTTATGGGACACATTCAAACCATAGCAGTCACATCAATTGATTTTTAAATATTGAGTAATCCTTGCATTTCTTTAATAAACCCCGCTTGGTCTCAGTGTGTAATTTTTTAAATATATTGCTGGATAGGATTCGGCAGTGTCTTGCTGAAGATTTTTGTCTCTCTATTCAGGAAAGATACAAATCTATAGTAGCTTTTGTTTTAATAATGTAATGCTGGCCTCATAAAATATGTTGGAAGCTGTTGTCTTCCTCTTACGTTTTCTGGAAGACATTATGCATAATTGCCATTAATTCTTTAAATGGTTGTAGAATTTTCCAACGAAACCATTTGCACTTGGAGATTTTTTTTCAGAAATTATTTTAAATTGTGAGTTTATTTAGTAATTATGAGATTACTCAATGTCTTGGTAGTTTGTGGTTTTTATTGGTTCATTTTCTCTAAGTTGTTGAATTTATGTATGTAAAGATTTTTTGTATTGATCAGAAGCCTGGGAAGCAGTAAAAAATTTTTGAGTTTTTTGTAACGCCCCTTTATTATTTTTTTAATGTCTGTAATGTGGGATCTTTAATGATATATTCATTTTTCATTGATTTTTCTCACGTATTCTGTTTTCAATTTTATTGATTTCTACACTTAACCTTATTTAGTTCTTACTGCTCTTTTGAGTTTATTTTGTCTCATTTCTTGAGGTGAAAGATTAGATTTCTTTTCTAATACAAGTTTTTTGTGCTATAAATTCTCTAAGCAGTGCTTTAGCTGCATCCTATGTATGTTGATATTTTGTATTTTCATGTCATTTAGCCAATGTATTTTTTATTTCCCTCTTTATATATTTTTCTCTTTAATAAATAGATTAGTTGTGAGTGTGCTGTTATAAGTTCCTAGTGTTTGGAGATTTTCTTGTCCATTATTAATTTTTAGCTTGATTCCATTATGGTCAGAGAAAATACTTTGTATGATTTCAGTCCTTGTAAATTGGTCAGTTTGTTGTATGACTCAGAATATGGTTATCTTGGTGAATATCCCTTAGCTATATTTAAAAAATGGATAATCTTATGTTATTGGATAGTACACTGTAAATGTCAATTATATCCCATGTGTTGGTGTTCTGTTCTATACTCTTTTTTTCTTTTTTTTTAAGTTCTAGGATACATGTGCACAACGTACAGGTTTGTTTCGTATGTATACATGTGCCATGTTGGTGTGCTGCATCCATTAACTCATCATTTACATTAGGTATTTCTTCTAATGCTATCCCTCCTCTCTTCCCCCACCCTGCGACAGGCCACCGTGTGTGATGTTCCCCACCCTGTGTCCAGGTGTTCTTATTGTTCAATTCCCACTTATGAGTGAGAACATGCGGTGTTTGGTTTTCTGTCCTTGAGATAGTTTGCTCAGAATGATGCTTTCTGGCTTCATCCATGTCCCTACAAAGGACAGGAACTCATCCTTTTTTATGGCTGCATAGTATTCCATGGTGTATATGTGCCACATTGTCTTAATCCAGTCTATCATTGATGGACATTTGGGTTGGTTCCAAGTCTTTGGTATTGTGAATAGTGCCACAATAAACATACATGTGCATGTGTCTTTATAGCAACATGATTTATAATCCTTTGGGTATATACCCAGTAATGGGATGGCTGGGTCAAATGGTATTTCTAGTTCTAGATCCTTGAGGAATCGCCACACTGTCTTCCACAATGGTTGAACTAGTTTACAGTCCCACCAACAGTGTAAAAGTGTTCCTATTTGTCTACATCCTCTCCAGCACCTGTTGTTTCCTGACTTTTTAATGATCGCCATTCTAACTGGTGTGAGATGGTATCTCATTGTGGTTTTGATTTGCATTTCTCAGATGGCCAGTGATGATGAGCCTTTTTTTCATGTGTCTGTTGGTTACATAAATGTCTTCTTTTGAGAAGTGTTTGTTCATATCCTTCGCCCACTTTTTGATGGGGTTGTTTGATTTTTTCTTGTAAATTTCTTTAAGTTCTTTGTACATTCTGGATATTAGCCCTTTGTCACATGGGTAGATTGCAAAAATTTTCTCCCATTCTTTAGGTTGCCTGTTCACTCTGATGGTAGTTTCTTTTGCTGTGCAGAAGCTCTTTAGTTTAATTAGATCCCATTTGTCAATTTTGGCTTTTGTTGCCATTTGGTTTGGTGTTTTAGTCATGAAGTCCTTGCCCATGCCTATGTCCTGAATGGTATTGCCTAGGTTTTCTTCTAGGGTTTTTATGGTTTTAGGTCTAACATTTAAGTCTTTAATCCATCTTGGATTAATTTTTGTATAAGGCATAAGGAAGGAATCCAGTTTCAGCTTTCTTCATATGGCTAGCTAGTTTTCCCAGCACCATTTATTAAATGGGGAATCCTTTCCCCATTTCTTGTTTTTGTCAGGTTTGTCAAAAATCAGATGGTTGTAGGATGTAGTATTATTTCTGAGGGCTCTGTTCTGTTACACTGGTCTGTATCTCTGTTTTGGTACCAGTACCATGCTGTTTTGGTTACTGTAGCCTTGTAGTATAGTTTGAAGTCAGGTAGCATGATGCCTCGAGCTTTGTTCTTTTTGCTTAGGATTGTCTTGGCAATGCAGGCTCTTTTTTGGTTCCATATGAACTTTAAAGTAGTTTTTTTCCAATTCTGTGAAGAAAGTCTTTGGTAGCTTGATGGGGTTGGCATTGAATCTATAAATTACCTTGGACAGTATGGCCATTTTCACCATATTGATTCTTCCTACCCGTGAGCATGGAATGTTCTTTCATTCTGTTTGTGTCCTCTTTTATTTCTTTGAGCAATCATTTGTAGTTCTCCTTGAAGAGGTCCTTCACATCCCTTGTAAGTTGGATTGCTAGGTATCTTATTCTCTTTGAAGCAGTTGTGAATGGGAGTTCACTCATGATTTGGCTCTCTGCTTTTCTGTTATTGGTGTATAAGAATGCCTGTGATTTTTGCGTATTGGTTTTGTATCCTGAGACTTTGCTGAAGTTGCTTATCAGCTTAAGGAGATTTTGGGCTGAGATGATGGGGATTTCTAGATATACAATCATGTCATCTGCAAACAGGGACAATTTGACTTCCTCTTTTCCTAATTGAATACCCTTTATTTCTTTCTCCTGCCTGATTTCCCTGGCCAGAACTTCCAACACTATGTTGAATAGGAGTGGTGAAAGAGGGCATCCCTGTCTTGTGCCAGTTTTCAAAGGGAATGGTTCTAGTTTTTGCCCATTCAGTATGATATTGGCTGTGGGTCTGTCATAAATAGCTCTTATTATTTTGAGATACGTCCCATCAATACCTAGTTTATTGAGAATTTTTAGCATGAAGGGCTGTTGAATTTTGTCAAAGGCCTTTTCTGCATCTGTTGAGATAATCGTGGGTTTTGTCTTTGGTTCTGTTTTATGATGGATTATGTTTATTGATGTGCGTATGTTGAACCAGCCTTGCATCCCAGGGATGAAGCCAACTTGATCGTGGTGGATAAGCTTTTTGATGTGCTGCTGGATTCGGTTTGCCAGTATTTTATTGAGGGTTTTTGCCTCGACTGATCAGGGATACTGGTCTAAAATTCTCTTTTTTTCTTGGGTCTCTGCCAGGCTTTGGTATCAGGATGATGCTGGCCTTATAAAATGAGTTAGGGAGGGTTCCCTCTTCTTCTATTGATTGGAATAGTTTCAGAAGGAATGGTACCAGCTCCTCCTTGTACCTCTGGTAGAATTCGGCTGTGAATCCATCTGGTCCTGGACTTTTTTTTGGTTGGTAGGCTATTAATTATTGCCTCAATTTCAGAACCTGTTATTGGTCTATTCAGGGATTCAACTTCTTCCTGGTTTGGTCTTGGGAGGGTGTATGTGTCCAGGAATTTATCCATTTCTTCTAGATTTTCTTATTTGCGTAGAGATGTTTATAATACTGTCTGATGGTAGTTTGTATTTCTGTGGGATCAGTGGTGATATCCTCTTTGTCATTTTTTATTGTGCCTATTTGATTCTTCTCTCTTTTCTTCTTTATTAGTCTTCCTAGCGGTCTATCAATTTTGTTGATCTTTTCAAAAAGCCAGCTCCTGGATTCATTGATTTTTTTGAAGGGTTTTTTGTGTATATCCTTCAGTTCTGCTCTGATCTTAATTATTTCTTGCCTTCTGCTAGCTTTTGAATGTATTTGCTCTTGCTTCTCTAGTTCTTTTAATTGTGATGTTAGGGTGTCAATTTTAGATCTTTCCTGCTTTCTCTTGTGGGCATTTAGTGCTATAAATTTCCTTCTACCCACTGCTTTAAATGTGTCCCAGAGATTCTGGTATGTTGTGTCTTTGTTCTCATTGGTTTCAAAGAACATCTTTATTTCTGCCTTCATTTCGTTTTTTACCCAGTAATCATTCAGAAGCAGGTTGTTCAGTTTCCATGTAGTTGTGCAGTTTTGAGTGAGTTTCTTAATCCTGAGTTCTAATTTGATTGCACTGTGGTCTGAGAGACAGTTTGTTATAATTTCTGTTCTTTTACATTTGCTGAGGAGTGCTTTACTTCCAAGTATGTGGTCAATTTTGGAATAAGTGTGATGTGGTGCTGAGAAGAATGTGTATTTTGTTGATTTGGGGTGGAGAGTTCTGTAGATGTCTATTAGGTCTGCTTGGTGCAGAGCTGAGTTCAATTCCTGGATATCCTTTTTAACACTCTGTCTCCTTGATCTGTCTAATGTTGACAGTGTGGTGTTAAAGTCTCCCATTATTACTGTGTGGGAGTCTAAGTCTCTTTGTAGGTCTCTAAGGATTTGCGTTATGAATCTGGGTGCTCCTGTACTGGGTGCATATATATTTAGGAGAGTTAGCTCTTCTTGTCGCATTGATACCTTTACCATTATGTAATGGCCTTCTTTGTCTCTTTTGATCTTTGTTGGTTTAAAGTTTGTTTTATCAGAGACTATGATTGCAACCCCTGCTTTTTTTTTATTTTCCATTTGCTTGGTAGATCTTCCTCCATCCCTTTATTTTGAGCCTATGTGTGTTTCTGCAGGTGAGATGGGTCTCCTGAATACAGCACACTGATGGGTCTTGACTCTTTATCCAATTTGCCAGTCTTTTTCTTTTAATTGGGGCATTTAGCCCATTTACATTTAAGGTTAATATTGTTATGTGTGAATTTGATCCTGTCATTATGATGTTAACTGGTTATTTTGCTCGTTAGTTGATGCAGTTTATTCCTAGCATCAATGGTCTTTACAATTTGGCATGTTTTTGCAGTGGCTGCTACCAGTTGTTCCTTTCTACGTTTAGTGCTTCCTTCAGGAGCTCTTGTAAGGCAGGCCTGGTGTGACAAATCTCTCAGCATTTGCTTGCTGTAAAGGATTTTATTTCTCCTTCACTTATGAAGCTTAGTTTGGCTGGATATGAATTTCTGGGTTGAAAATTCTTTTCTTTAAGAATGTTGAATATTGGCACCCACTCTCTTCTGGCTTGTAGAGTTTCTGCTGAGAGATCTGCTGTTAGTCTGATGTGCTTCCCTTTATGGTAACCTGACCTTTCTCTCTGGCTGCTCTTTAAGATTTTTTTTTCCTTCATTTCAACCTTGGTCAATGTGAGAATTATGTGTCTCAGGGTTGCTCTTCTCGAGGAGTATCTTTGTGGCATCTGTGTGTTTCCTATATTTGAATGTTGGCCTGCCTTGCTAGGTTGGGGAAGTTCTCCTGGATAATATCCTGCAGTGTTTTCCAACTTGGTTCCATTCTCCCCGTCACTTTGAGGTACACCAATCAAACATAGATTTGGTCTTTTCACATAGTCTGATATTTCTTGGAGGTTTTGTTTGTTTCTTTTTACTCTTTTTTTCTCAACTTCTCTTCTTGCTTTATTTCATTCTTTTGATCGTCAATCACTGATACCCTTTCTTCCACTCAATCGAATCGGCTACTGAAGCTTGTGCATGTGTCACGTAGTTCTCGTGCCATGGTTTTCAGCTCCTTCAGGTCATTTAAGAACCTCTCTGCACTGTTTATTCTAGTTAGCCATTCGTCTAATCCTTTTCAAGGTTTTTAGCTTCCTTGCGATGGGTTCGAACATCTTCCTTTAGCTCGGGAAAGTTTGTTATTACCGACTTTCTGAAGCCTACTTCTCTCAACTCATCAAAGTCACTCTTTGTCCAGCTTTGTTCTGTTGCTAGCGAGGAGCTGCAATCCTTTGGAGGAGAAGAGGTGCTCTGGTTTTTAGAGTTTTCAGCTTTTCTGCTCTGATTTCTCCCCCTTTGTGGTTTTATCTACCTTTGGTCTTTGATGATGGTAACCTACAGGTGGGGTTTTGGTGTGGATGTCATTTTTGTTGATGTTGATGCTATTTCTTTCTCTTCGTTAGTTTTCCTTCTAACAGGACTCTCAGCTGCAGGTCTGTTGGAGTTTGCTGGACGTCCACTGCAGACCCTGTTTGCCTGGGTATCACCAGCAGAGGCCGCAGAACAGCAAATGTTGCTGCCTGATCCTTCCTCTGGAAGCTTTGTCTCAGGGGGGCACCCACCTGTATGAGGTGTCAGTAGGCCCCTACTAGGAGGTGTCTCCCAGTTAGGCTACTCAGGGGTCAGGGACCCACCTGAGGAGGCAGTCTGTCTGTTCTCAGATATCAAACTCAGTGCTGGGAGAACCACTATTCTCTTCAAAGCTGTCAGACAAGGATGTTTAAGTCTGCAGAAGTTTCTGCTGCCTTTTGTTTAGCTATTCCCTGTCCCCAGAGGTGAAGTCTACAGAGGCAGGCAGACCTCTTTGAGCTGTGGTGGGCTCCACCCAGTTCAAGCTTCCTGGCCGCTTTGTTTACCTAGTCAAGCCTCAGGAATGGCAGACGCCCCTCCCCAGCTTCGCCACCGCCTCGCAGTTTGATCTTGGACTGCTGTGCTAGCAGTGAGCAAGGCTCCATGGGCTTGGGACCCTCTGAGCTAGGCATGGGATATAATCTCCTGGTGTGCCATTTGCTAAAACCATTGGAAAGGTGCAGTATTAGGGTGGGAGTGTTCCGATTTTCCAGATACTGTCTGTCATGGCTTCCCTTCGCTAGGAAATGGAATTCCCCAACCCCTTGTGATTCCCCAGTGCAGCGATGCCCCGCCCTGCTTCCCCTCACACTCTGTGGGCTGCACCCACTGTCCAACAAGTCCCAGTGAGATGAACCCGGTACCTCAGTTGGAAATGCAGAAATCACCCGTCTGTGTCGCTCACGCTGGGAGCTGTAGATTGGAGCTGTTCCTATTCGGCCATCTTCGAAATCCTGTTCTATACTCTTAACACTATATTGTCATTTGTCTATGTTTTCCTTTTAGTTCTGTTTTGTACTTCATATATTCTAGTTCATGTATTCTGTCCTAGTTTGTACTTCATGTATTTTAAAGCTGTATTACTTGCTGCATACATATTTAAGATTTTTATGTCTTCTTGGCATACTGACCCTTGTATCGTTATATATTGTCCCCCTCTGTGCCTGATAATTCCCTTTGCTCTGAAGGCTTTGTCTGATATTAGTATAGCCATTTCAGCTTTTTTTTTTTTTTTTTGGATTGGTATTTGCTTGACATGTTTTTCCCTTCATTTATTCTAAACCTACCTATATTTATTGTATTTGAAATGTGTTTTGAATGGATAGCATATGGTCCGGTAATTTTTAAAGTTTCTGTGAATCTGTCTTCTAATTACAATTTAGACACTCAAATTTTATATATTCATTCATGTTAGGAGTGAAGTCTGCTGTTCTATTTTTGCTTTCTTTATATATTTTTTTCTTTCCTGTTTCCCTTTTCCTGCCTTCCTGTGGGTACCTGATTTTTTTCTTATTTTTTACTGTTCTGTTTTGCCTTGTCTATTGTGTTTTTAAATATATCACTTCGTATACATTTTTTGTTGCTCAGTGGATTACAGTATACATATATAACATCAGTTGACTAGTATCAACAGTTTGACACTTCTAGTGAAATGTAAGAACTTTACAGCCACTTAGGTATTTAGCTTACTGCTTTATAATTTATTTTCTTAAATAATTCCTTTACATACATTGACAACCATGTCAGATAATATAATTTTGCTTTCAGCCATCTCACATTTTTAAAACTCAAGGATAGCCTATTATATTTACCCAAATGTTTACCCATTCTGTTCTTCATTCCTCATCTTCCAAGTTTCATTCTGTTATTTCCTTACTTTGAAAAACTTTCTTCAGCAATTCTTTTTTAAAAATTAATACTTCACTTTTTAGAGCAGTTTTAGGTTTACAGAAAAATTGAGCAAAAGGTACAGAGGTCCCATAATCCCCTTTACCCCCTCCCACCAGTTTTTTTAAATTAACATCTTGTATTATGGATTATATTTGTTATAATTAATGAGCTAATTTTGATACTTCATTATTAAAGTCCGTAGTTTACATAGGGTTCACTCTTTGTGTTGTACATTTTGACACATGTATATGTATCCACTATCACCGTATCAGAGAACACTTTCACTGCCCTAAAAAATCCTCTGTGCTCTACCTATTCTTCCCTCCCTACCCCTGAGTCCCAGGCAACCACTCTATGTGGTTTGCCTTTCCAGAATGTCATTTATTTGGAGTCATAAAGTGTGTAGGCTTTTCAGATTGGCTTCTTTCACCTGGCAATGTGCATTTAAGGTTACTTCATGTCTTTTTATGGCTTGATAACTTTTTTTTATTGCTCATTAATATCCCATTGTATAGATGTAACAGTTTATCCATTCATCTATTGAAGGACATCTTAGTTGCTTTCAAGTTTTGACAATTATGAGTAAAGCTGCTATACACATTTATGTGCAGGTTTTCCTGTGGGCATATTTTCAACTCATTTGGATAAATACCAAGGAGTGTAATTGTTGGATCATATGGTAGGTGTGTATTTCTCTAAGAAACTGCCCAACTGTCTTCCCAAGTTGTTTTTGCATTTCCATCAGCAGTGAGTAAGAGTTCCTGCTGCTCCACATCCTCATCAGTATTTGGTATTTTCAGGGTCTTAGACTTCAGCTATTCTAATGAATATAGTGGCATCTCCTTTAAATTCATCCCTCATGTATGATCTTAGATATCTTTTCATATGTTTATTTACTAATTGTGTTATCTTTGGTGAGTTGCCTAGTTCCCCCCCCGCCACCCCTGAATTTGAACACTGGGTTGTTTTTCTGTTGAGTTTTAAGTTTTCTGTATGTTTTTGATTGCCAATCCTTTGTTTTGCAAATATTTCCTGTCTGTGGCTTTTTATTCTAACAGTGTCTTTCACAGAACTGAGGTTTTTACTGTAAAAGTTCAACTTACCAATTTTTTTTCTTCATGGACCATACTTTTTATGTTGTAGATAAAAAGTCATTACCAAACCCGAGGTCACCTAGATTGTCTCCTATGTCATCTTCAAGGAATTTTATAATTTTGCATTTGGAAAGGCCTAACTTTCCAAATAAATTGATAATTCTTAATTTTTGTTTTCTGACCTACTTATGTTGCCATCAAAGAACTCACTCTGCATAACTTCAGTTCTTTAAAATTTGTTGGAATTTGCCTTATGGCCCAGGGAATAGCCAAATGTTGTAAATATTTTATGTGCTTGAAAAGTATGTATATGCTGAAATTGTTTGCAGAGTGTCCTATATATTCCCATTATGTTAAACTATTTCATTAAAATTTTCTATTCTTTTCCTGATTGTATCTATTCTTCCTATCAAATACTGAGAGATGTGTTGAAGTCTCATGCTATGATTTTAATTATTTTTTCTTATATTTCTGCCAACTTTATTTAGTTGAGGCCATATAGTTAAATATGCTAGGTTATTGCTAGAATATATATTTAAGTTACTCCATCTTCCTGATTAGATGAAACGTTCATCACTATGTAGGCACCCACTTTATCCCTAGTGATACCTTTTACCCTAAAGACCACTTTATGTAACATTGATAGAGCTCCATTTAGTGAACGTTGTGATGTTCTGCCCTGACCCCCCATCAGGACTGAAGGACTTTTTGCTTTAGGTGCTGGGAATGCAACTGGATGACAGCCTTCACCCATCAACCCTCTATGGGAATTGTCCTGAGCTGAAGGGAGCCACCTTATCCAAGACCACTCTCTTTTCCTGGGGATAGCCTGCCTCTCATATCTGGTCAGAGCAGGGTTATAAAGGTCCAGCCCCTTGCCAATGCTGCTTTCTCTCTCCACTCTCCTCTGGGATTCCAGTTAAATCCCTACATTCTCCAGGTCTCCTCTCTCCATGCTTCCTTATGGGTAGAATCTTCTAGCCTCTCTTCCCGTTCCCCAATATCTCTTTTAACTCTTACCTAATCTGGCATTAAACGCGGTTCCATAATTTCTAGGTTTTTTTCTTCTACTACACAGCTGTGTAGTTCCGTTATGGCTTTATCTCCATCAACAGCAATGGTAAGTACTTTAATGTCTATACCTAATGATTCTAGTATACAGAGTCCCTGTGTTTGTTTTTTTCTGGATCACAATGCCATGTCTTAGTGTTTACTGAAACTTTGACAATTTGCTTTTAGAAGTAACAGAAGTCTTAGTTCTGATGATGCTGGTTTCTTTCAGAGACAGGATGTGTTTTCTTCTTCCAGGACTTTAATATACTGAAAACTCAGAAAGCAAACCTTTAGATCTTTCAGATTCATACTCCCACAGGAGAATAAGCCCTTTAGGGACCAAATCCATGAGAAGTGTTATTAATGGTACTAAACACTGACCTGGATTATTTTTTAGCACTGCAAGTCCACCAAGTAGCTCTGCCTCTCTGGTACTTGCCAAAGCCTAGGAAAAATGCATCAGCGATTTCAGATAGGGGATGGAGCAAATAGGAGGATGCATCCTGCTACTTCCAGGGATGGTATTCCTTACCTCTTTCCTCTTCCATCACTAGCTTGAGTGAAAATCCAGGAAAGAAGGCTTTGAGTGGTGTATTCTAAGATAGAGGTAGCTGATTGCTGTTTCCTATCACATAGCTAGGTGTATCTTAGCTGCAAGAGATGCTGGAAACTCTAAGCCTCAAACATCTTAAGGTTTTATAGAAGGTGTTATAGGCAGAAATCTAAGATGTCCCCCAATATCCCTCCCTGATACTACATCCATAATTATTTTATATTGCATGGCAAAGGAATTTAGCAGATGTAATTAAGGTCCCAAATCATTTGATTTTGAGTTAGTGTCATAAGGGACTTATCTCATGAGTCTAACCTAATTATGTAAGAAGTTATTTAAAAGCAGAGTTTTCTCCCGCTGGTAGCCTAGGAGGGAGTCAAACAGATTCCAAGTGAGAAAAGGAGTTAACATGCCATTGCTGCTTTGAAGATGGAAGGAGCCTGTGGCGAGGATATGAAGGGCCTCTAGAAGCTGTGAGCAGCCCCCAGCTCACAGCCAGCAAGCAAACAAGGACCTCAGCTCAGCAACAGCAAGGACGTGAATCCTGCCAATAACAGAAATGAGCTTGAAAGAAGACACCAAGCTCCAGGTAAGAAAGCAGCCAGCCAACACTTAGAGCCTTGTGAAACTCTAAGCAGAGAACCCACCCATGCTATTCTAGACTTCTGACTACAGAACTGTGAGATATTAAATGGGTATTGTTTTATGCCACTAAGTGTGTGGCAATTTGTTATGCAGCAAAAAAAAAACTAATGTCAAGGAAGTCATTTTTTTACTTCTACCAAGGTTCACAAGGTGGTAAAATTTCACAAACACAAGGGTTCAGATACGAGGTGACCAAATGAATGGTAGAATATGCTCCAGGGGATAAGGGAACTGTGCACTATGTAAGATAAGCGATTTAGTCCTGCAGGTTTATGCCAACTACGAGAAGAAACAGCATGACCCATCTCCTAAAAATGTTCTAGTCTTCTAGGGCAGCTGATGCCAGCATGTACCCAAAGAGAAAAGATTAGTCCTCTGAAATGTTAGCTACAGATACCTTTTAAATAGAGCTCTGATTTGGCCAAAAACCCAGGAAACTGTATACTTAACTGAAAACAACCTAGAGTAAAATAAATCACACCAGCACAAAAGGACAAGTATCTACAAAATCTTTATAAATTCACATATTTTTCTGAAAGTGTACAAGCAGTCTCAATTTACTGGGACAAAAATGAACATTTTTGTTCTTTAGTAATGAAGTCAATGTACAATTCAGAGCAGGTGTCCATAGAAACAACTAGGTTTGAAAAAACTTAAGACAATTCACAGTTGAAATCAAACAAACACTGTGAATGTGTTAAATACTTGCCATATAACAACACTTTAACATTGATCTTGCTAAATAAGGCTATGATTCATAAGATGCATGTATTTCCAAAGCTGTTTAACATTCTTATAAATTAATTCACAGGATTCAAATAGTTGCTTTTTAGCTTCAACTGGGTATTAGCAAAAATAATACAAAATGATCCCCGTGCAAGCACAAATTTACCTTCCTTCCTAAATAAAACATGACAGATTATATTACAACTTGATAGCCTCTCTTTTAAAAAGTCTGTGACATTATTAAAGAGGTGACGGAATGCTTGTTTTGCAAACCCCAACACATCTTTCACTGTGGACCATTGCTATTACTTCATTAACACAGTTGCTCAGATCTCAAGGTACTCACGGTCTGAAATATATTTTACAATTAGAAGGTATGCACAGGTCAAAAAGAGCAATCCAAGGGTTAGAAGTCCCCAGTGCCCCACACTGGCTCATTGCCGAGGTGACAGGGTGCAGGCTGTGTGAGCCAGGCACACTTACCCCTCAACTGGGCTTCTGTAGCTTTACAATTTGGATAACTAGTTAGCGGACAGTAGTTGGGACATGTCACATACAGATTTGAGTCCTCCAATAATGTACACTTTGCCAGGTTTTATCCCTTTGTTAAAGCAAATAGAACAGAGAGGGAATATAGCTGCCAGTAAAAATCATTTCCCCCCTCTTAATCTCCCATCCTTCATCTCCATGAAACCGACTATTAAGATAACCTTTCTCTCTCTGTGCACTAGTGGAAAAAGTAAAGTTCTATAGAAACTCACAGTTAAGAGGGACTCTGAATACAGCAAGTTAAGGCTTTTAGTGCAAATAGAATGAATTCCCACTAAGGTCAAAAGGTTTCAATTGGGTACCATGCTGACTTCTTGGTATCTTTTAAGGCCTAATTTTCCCTTCCTTGAGATTACTGTAGTGTGTTCCAGCTAATTTCTATTTGGAAACGAGTTGGAACAGCTGAAAACTAGGTATTATTGAAGGCAAAGCAGCCTCACGTCAGTTTTTTATCAGCTCATTTGGGAAGGTTTTTTTTTTTTTTTTTTTTTTTTTTTAATTAATTAGAAAGTAGGCTGGGCACGGTGGCTCATGCCTATAATCCCAGCACTTGGGGAGGCCGAGGATCTCCTCTCTGGTGGATCACTTGAGGGCAGGAGTTAAGAGACCATCCTGGCCAACATGATGAAACCCTGTCTCTACTAAAAATACAAAAAGTAGCTGGGCGTGGTGGCATACTCTTACAATCCCAGCTACTTGGGAGGCTGAGGCAGGAGAATCACTTGAACCTAGGAAGCAGAGGTTGCAGTGGGCCAAGATCACACCACTATACTCTAGCCTGGGCGACAGAGGTGGGGAAAAAAGTAGGACCCCTGTCCTATATTCAGGTTTTTCTCACATATATGAACCCATCTAAATTCTACGTTGTTAAAGGTAGCTTAGGTTAATTAGTCTATACTTATTTAAGAACAATATGGGGTGAGATGGATTTTTTTTTAAAAATCCTAAAGTAAGGCTTTCTACTTTCCTTCTAATGAGGAAAAAGGTGACAAAAATTCAAGTGTCAATGTCCCCTTCCTGGGAAGAGGTTTAGAAAAACAACAGCTCACCTTCTGAACTCTACCAGTTCCTTTTGAAGTTAACGAAGCATTAAAATCAGATGTAAAAAAAGAAAAAAAAAGGCAGGGAAATATTTACAAAACTGGACATTCTTTACAGATATACAATCTTGCTAATACTGGGAGAACCATACAAGGATGTATAAAGAGAGACAGTCACCTTAGTAATGCAAGGATAGAGAAAACCAGGATATAATATGTGTTTTTTATTGCCAGAACATGGTGAAACTAGGAGGAGCAGAGATGACCTGATCCCTGAAGTGAACTGCTCAGCTATTCTGTGTACCTCAGGAGGTCTGCAAGTGTGTGGTTAGGTAAAAACTGAGCTGTGCAAACTCACTGTATCCAAGCTCTTCTCATGAGAGAGCAGAACAACCTGGCAAGCTTAAAGGCAAGTGTTTTCGTTCTTTTAATTAAATAGGCTGTGACAAAATTAACAATAAAACTAGCCCAGAACCAACCAGCCCGGTAAGTGTCGTGCAAATCTTGCAGTAACAAAAGACCATCTGAGAGACTACACGTTGGTCTCCAGTCCTAGCAAGCGTCCCATTCTCTCCACATTCTTATCAATTGTAGCTTGACATGTTATCTCCTTGGCACATTCCATAGGAAACCAGCCTCTTTCTCCATCTCGTAGTCGTTCCCCCTCATACCAGCCTGTGAAAAAGAACAGAGTCCACACCAAACAACAAGTATTTGGAGTGTGCCAGGCTCCAAGGATATGAAAAAGCTGAGAGGCAGCATCCCTCCCCAGGCTAAGTGCTACGGTGAGAAGAGAAAGTGGGACAGGGAAAGCTTTCGAGGGGGAATGAATGACATGGCAGGGAAAGAACGTGAGCAGAGGCCCTGAAGTGAGAAGGCTGAGAGTATTTGAACCTGGGCTGAGCTGGGAAAGGAGATGCTTTGGGTAAAGGATAGCAGGAAGAATGCTATTTTTGAAAGGACGAATATTTAGAGATAAGAACTGGGTCACTGAGGGACTGGGGAAAAAAGAAAACGTCATGGTTTAGCCTTAGAGATGAGAAGACAGTACATATATGTGATCTCAAACATTAACATGTCAAGATTTGGAATATGGGCAATGATGACAAAATGACACTCCTCGGGTCTATAGCACTCTGCATCCTGGACCACGAGTGTCCCATAAGAACGCTCCCACTCACCATCGCTGACACGTTGATAGATGAGGACGACGTCAGCCACCTGCAGGGAGAGTTCATCTGGCTGCTTAGCAGTAAATGACCTAACGATTTCCACCTGGGTCAGTGCTGAGGCCAAAAGAGGACATACTAAGTTTCCAGTAGCAGAGAAAAAACATGTGCAATCCAATAATGTACACTTACTTATTTTTCTCTGCAATTCAGGGCCAGCATTGAGAGAAACAAGTTGGGCTTCTAATAAAAAGCAGAACATCTTTTCTAGCAACTCCCTTGCTTGGCTATAAGCTTTAGAATTTTAGAAGCTCAGATTTGAGAGGCCTTTTATGATGCATGATTCCCCTCAATAACAGGTTGATCAGGAGTCATTAGTCATGTCACACAATGGAACAGAAAACAGCCACTCTGCATTAGGGAAACTGAGACATGAAAGAGTTGCTGATGTGCCAAGGCCATGCAAAATCTGCAACAGACACAGTTCTCCTGGCTCTCATCAGAGTGTCTCCCCATCCCAACAGCAGCACATGAAAGTTTCCAAAAAAAAGTTTAGAAATAAAATGAGCTCCAACCAAAAGCTGAGAAGTCATGTTAGACCTCCTCAGAAATGCTGACATGTGGCCGGGCACGGTGGCTCACGCCTGTAATCCCAGCACTTTGGGAGGCCGAGGCAGGCGGATCACGAGGTCAGGAGATTGGGACCATCCTGGCTAACACGGTGAAACCCCGTCTCTACTAAAAATACAAAAAATTAGCTGGGCATGGTGGCGGGCGCCTGTAGTCTCAGCTACTTGGGAGGCTGAGGCAGGAGAATGGTATGAACCCAGGAGACGGAGCTTGCAGTGAGCTGAGATAGCACCAGAGCGAGACTCCATCTCAAAACAAACAAACAAAATGCTGACATGTGACTTCTTAATTTGCTTTTTAATACAAAGCTTGATTTCCGGGAACTTTCAAACCAGTCATTTTGGCTTTTAATCTAAGCTTAAAGCTATAATTTTTGAGTGTTCCAGGATAACAATGTTTTGTTCTAATTCTTTGGATTTGACCTTGCAACTGTAATAATCTAAGAAACCACAGCATCAAAGTTAGGAAGCTAATAGGCATACAACACCCCCCTTCACTGCGCCAGTTTCTAATTCTCTAGAATAGTGAAACACACTTTCTTAGAAGGTCAAAAAGAATTCTTAGGTAATTTTCTTTTAGATTAAAAATACTTTTCAGCTTAAATCCAGACTGTCAGTATGTAGAAGGTTTAAACATGATCAACTGTTGCCCACTGATAATAGCTAAAAATTTAAGGGCTTTACAGTTCAAGTAGGGCTTTTAACATAGATTATTTAACTTAATCTTCACAATAACCCCATGTTGTATATAATGGTGTAACTGACTTGCAGATGGTTAAATAGGCTCTGCAATGCTAAGCAATGATTTGACACGTTTACACAACAAAGAAATGCACCTTGGATTTGAATTCAGACCCCCTGACTTCCAAAGCAAGGATCATACATTTTTGGTGTAAAGCAGAAGGAAGCCCTGGAGGAAACTTAGGCAAGTATTGTGGCAATATAACTCGTTAGTAACCCGGCGTCCAGCAGGGGGCAGAGCCCATCCATGTTCCCAAGTGGGCTTCCCCTTGAGAGAACTTACAGGTTCGGTCTGCAGGCGGCTTCCCGCTGCTGTGTCCCAGGGCAGTTATCCAGCGGGCTCGCTCGCTCCTAAAACAGAGGGCAGATCCAACTGAGAGACTCAAGGTGTAAAAACACAGAATGGAGTGTTTTCTAGGCAGCCAATGCAAAGGCACTCCCAGAAAACAAGAGATTCTCTAGAGAGGTATGGTAAAACAGGGTGAGAGTAGTTTAAAAGTGATAAGCTGGAAAGTCTAAAATAAGCAGGAGACTAGTCATCATTGTCAAAAGAGTCTGAATGAACTTGGCTCATTATTGATTAAAAGGAACTTCCCATATGACAGTTTAAAAGTTAATAAGGAGCTGATTACACGAACACATTATAACTCCAAAAGGTATTTAGCATACCCATAATTTGATGTTTAACATTTCAAAAGCAGTTAAGTTTCATTTTTTAAAAATCCTACTAATTTCTCTGCTTCCTCCCCACTTCCCTTCCCACACACTCAAACCTTTCCGTAAACTTGAGAAACTTGACATATTTAGTTGTCTCATCCCTCATACAACTAATTTTGCCAAATATGAGTCTTACTGAAATAGAAATTCTTTGGCCACTTTTACACTGTTCCCAAATGCTTAAAATGGTTTAATGAGCACAGGAAAAATGACCAATACTTTTAATATAATATTAAGCTATAATTACATAAAAATAATTATTCAACTAAAGGATCAAAAGTTTCAGATAAGCAAGCACTTCTCTACATAATGCAGTCACCCTGGTTTTTTATTTTGAGCACCAAGTATTAAAATTACAATTAATTAAATACTGCCCCGCCACACACATACTTTTAACTCTCTTATGTATTTATTAAACACATGCTACATGTCAGACACTGCACTCAACATCCACTATTCCATGTAATCCTCTCAAAAGCCCATCTGAAGGATGCTAAGATCAGACAGAAGTTCAGAGGCAAGCAATTCAAACCAAAGTCAGTTTCTACTGTGCCACTCTACATTCTTAAGAAAAAATGCCTTCATGACCAACACCTGGGGAAAAAAACTCTTCTCTCATAGCAGCCTGAATCTACAGATGCTTGTCGCTGTCACCCCACCTTCATCCCCATATGCATCCTTCCAACCCAGGCAGAGAGGATGACTTACCGCATTGGAACATAGCACCCTTGCCCCAGCCTTTCCTATTCCTTCCCTGTTTTTGCGTAGATAAGCCCACTCATTATTGCCATTAAAATTTCTTAACATACATAACATAAACTGAGTTAATCATAAGCGTGTACAGCTCTGTGTTTACTTACCAAGACACAGATGCGCCAGGCATTTCCATTCTGACCCTTTCCAATCAATAACCTCTGTCCAAAGGTGACTGCTCTTGTTTTCCATTACCATGGAATTTCTATTACCATGCTTCTTTTGTACTTTTTGCAAATGAAATCCTTTAGTATGTATGCTTTTGTATTTGGCTTCTTTTGCTCAACATATATCCACTCAATGCTGAAAACACAAGGCTCACTTCCTCCAGTGGGGGCTCCTCTGATACATAAACCAATCCTTCCATCTCCATCCCAGTCTGATAATCCTGTTTCTAGGGCACCCCTCTGCACAATTCTATTATATTGCTGGTCAACAGTAAGCCTCATAAAAGCAGGCAGCTTATCCATTTGGTTCACTGCATTATCTCTACAACATTGCCCAACACGTAACAGGGGCTCAGTATATGTCTGCTAATGAATGAATTATATAACTCATCACATATTGAGCCCAATCATTTACTGACTCATCTGCTTCTCTTACCAGGCTATAAACTCCAGAATGGCAGGAATTGGGCCTTGTTCTAAATAATATTCTGAAGCACCTATGTGTCAGGTATGGTACTAAACAATTGCAAGTATCATCTAATCTAATTTTTACAACAATCTTGAAAAGAAAATATTACCAAAATTATTTCTATTTTTTTCAGAGGACAAAGCAAGTCTGGTATGTTAAGCACCTAACCCAGGCAGTCTGAAATCAAAGAGGTGGTGTTACGCAGCAGGTGTTTACAAAATAATGATGGAAGGCAGGAAGGGTGGAAACTGTGGTATCTTGAAAGACAGGCATTTTCAAAGATTAAGATGAGGCTGGGCCTTGATCAAGATGGTGTGTCAAGTAGTAATATGCACAATTTATATAGAAGCCAAGGCTCCTGTCTTGCTTTTAAAACCTCTCTCTCTCTCTCTCTCTCTAATACAGGACAAAGGGCTTTACAATAGTTCTGTAAGAAATAAGCAAAGCACAACTTCATGTAAAATAATTCCCAGGCAAACACTTGTATCTTTGCTATGATGTCTTTATTGGGAATAAGATCTATTTTTTACACAGGCTCAAGTGGAATTTGCAAAGTACAAAGCCAATCGAAAACAAAATACCTCATGAATAGAAGTGTTGCTCACCAAGAGAAATCTAAAATGATCCATTTGTGTCTCTCTATGCCATACTGAAACAAATTATACATAGCCTATACTGCTGTCTTCTGGAGCAATTTAGAGCAACTTGGAGCCAGTGAGGCAGATCTTCCTGTACACAGACACCGTCTCTGGCACTGAGTGGCCAGTATCAGCAGTGGCTTTGCCCTACAGCCAGTTTCCAGAAGTCCAGATGAAATCTTTCACTTCTGTGGCATGCTGCCTGGATGCTAATAGCATCTCTTAGACATGGCCACCCCTCACAGGGACTCCAGAGGATAGAACAAGACACTCCTTGTTGCTATCACTAAAAGGAGCAGCTTTTTGAGACTTTCAATTGAGTGAGTCCCACCCCCCCCTCTTAGATGCTGTCAAATCCACAGGACTTCCCCTGGGGCTTTCAAGAGTCTGCCAAGAGGCCGGGCGGGGCGGCTCACACTTGTAATCCCAGCACTTTTGGAGGCCGAGGCAGGGATCACCTGAGGTCAGGAGTTCGAGACCAGCCTGACCAACATGGAGAAACCCCATCTCTGCTAAAAATACAAAATTAGCTGGGCGTGGTGGTGCACGCCTGTAATCCCAGCTACTCAGGAGGCTGAGGCAGAGAATTGCTTCAACCTGGGAGGCGGAGGTTGCGGTGAGCCAAGAGTGCACCATTGCACTCCAGCCTAGGCGACAAGAGCAAAACTCCGTCTCAAAAAAAAAGAGCCTGCTAAGGAGCTCCCCCAGCTATGAAGCAGAAAGTACTACATCTCTAAAGCAGGAACTAAGTTGTTATAAGATGGATTCTAGGGACAGGAAAAACCAGGGCATAGACTTACCCACGATTAAATTTAGACATGAAGTCTAGGGCTCACTCACAGACATCTATTTTCTCCAGGGACGTATCGATATAAAACAATTGAGATGAATTCACAATCTACCACACAGCCAGTTCACAGACTTTTCCCTTTGCACAAAGTGACAAGAGTAAGCAATGCTGCACTGAATCCCATCTGTGGCATATCAACTTTGAAGACTCGCCTTACCACTCCTTCCTCTACCCACATTCACTTTGCACAGGCCCTGGGCTAGCTTGGAGAGGTGCACAGCAAATACACTGGAGTCCCTTGCTTTTTACCGCCCTCAGTATGAGGGAACACACAGAGCAGAAAACACTCACAAAATCCAATACAGCATGCAGTGTGCTGAAATGGAACACTCTACCAAAACATTTGACCTACGTAGAGAAAGACGACTAAATTGAAAAGAGACTCTTTTAACTTAAATGTCTATAAATGTAGTCTTTTCATAACCCTCAAGTTCTCCATGCATGGCATGAAATGATGTTTCTACAGTTTCCTATCAGCTATGGTAGCACCTTGTCCTGTCTCTCATATAATTCATTATGCACAGTAGGTTTAACTTAATTGCATGAAGGTCAAAGATACAGCAAAGTCTCACTTCTTATGGAATACCAGGCATCAGCTACAAAACATAGATACATACTGAGAAAGTAGGAAGTAGGCTTTGAAATCACAGAGACAGGGCTGCAGGTGAGGCTGCACAGAACAGAACATTGGCTGAGGACTCCATCACTAACAGGGTTTTCTGATTTCTCAATAGAAAAAAATAGCCCTTAGTTGCTCTTTAACCTTCCTTTTATCCCTCCCAAAGTGGCATTTGACCAGTTACCTTTTGTGTTTCTTTTTACAGCCTACACATTTACCTGTGGTTCCTTTTGATTTCTCTAAAGTCCTTCGAACCTTTGTAAAGAATAGGATTGTGAAGATAGTTGTTTCTGTTCATTCCCTCACAAACTCAATTCAACTAGATTAGTTCAGAAAACTGATCCATGAAAGAAAGCCCCATAGCGTGAAAAAAAGTCATTAAAAATGCTGAGACCAGGCCTTAAAAAACTAGATATCAGTTCAATTTGCCAAATTTTAAAAAATCTAACTGAAGCAAAATAATATCCCTAGCCCACTAAGAGTTCTAAAATTTAGATTTTTGTCACATGCTATATAGTTAAATCAATTATTTCTTGTTTATCATATTACATTAGCTCAGACCTAAAAAATCTGGTCCAGAGTCCTTCAGTTAACCTGAAGCGGGTCAATGATGTTTTCCTGCTGATAAAAGACCTCTTGTCCTATTGGGGTTGGTGATGAGGACCACATTAAGATCAGATCCTTTGACAGGCACTAGATAAATGTAAGATTATGACTGGACTTAGAATTTAGATTTAACAAGGAAAAAAATGCTATACCCTACAATAAATAAAATGTTTCCATGTATACTGTCTTTATGTTGTGATTTTTCTAAAAGGATGAAGTATATGACTATGTCAGAGATACTATTTACAATTTTATTCCATTCCATGTACTTCCTGTTGTTAATTAAATCATTAACAGAAGCAGGAAAAGCTCAAAGACTCCCTGCAAACAATGCCCCTTTATCAGGAGGCCCAGGAATTGGTGTCTGGATGGTTGACAGCACCAACCACATTCATTATGCTTCTAGCTCTGTGAGGGAGAAATTTTGAGAAGGATATTTGATTATGGGCTAAGGTCATCATATCCTATAACTGACATATAATGAGTGAGGAAAGTTTGTGTTCATCACTGAACATGTCCTAGATGTTTCATGACGGTATACACTACACCCAAATGACATCTAAATTTTACTGCAAATGCAGGAAGCCAAGGACTCCACTTGCCACAGCCTGTTGTGTGTGCCAGCTGCAGCTGTCTGTGCTTCATTTTAATGAAGGCAGACAAAGGGGGCTCTCTGGCTCCCACATTCCTCTTGAAAGGCCCAGAGGGAAAAAAGAATGACAGTGGTAAAACATTCTTCCTTTGTCCTTTTATAAAGGGTAGACTTCTGTATTTTTCACAGAGTATTGTCTCATTGACGATACCATGACTTAGGGCCTGTCATGGACAAACAGATATAACACAGTATACATGACTTCGACGTACATCCTAAAAAACATTTGACTGAATCCTTAATAGCAAAAAATTGAAAAACAAGTAAAATTTGGGAAAAACCTGCTCCAGCAGTAACAAAAAGGGCAGTAAATAGAGACAGGAAGCAGTTTTTCTCCACACCTGGTTACTCTTCTACCTTGTCTCAGATAGAGAAAAGCTAGTTATAATAATTATGGGTCAATCCCAAAAATATTTATTGGGAACCTACTCGCTATGTACAAAGCAAGGAAAGGACAAAACTAGAGCTGAGCTTAGGGATTAGTGATAAAACTACTGTATTGATGGGAGAGGAGAATGGCTAGGAGGCCATTGGGGTAGTTCAAAAGCCATGTGGTTGACCTAGGAAGGAGGCAGTGGAATGGAAAGATGGGGAAAGATGAAATAGACTTTTACACAGGAAGAACTGGCAGGTGATGGATCTGTTCTGACACAGAAGCATCAAAAACAGCACCAAGTCTCCAGACTGGATAACGCAAAAGAGTGTCAATAGTACCATTTACAGAAATGTGTGTGTCGGGGAAAGCCACGGGCAGTGTTGATGTTTGGTTTTGGACAGGCTGCATTTCTGAAGAGACAGAGAAGAGGAATGGTCATAGGTGTGAGAGGCAAACTAAGAGCATAGATAAGAGGCTGAGAAAAACATAATCTCAAAAAAAGGGTTAGCATGAAAGAGCTGGATGGTCAATAAAACTAAATGATACTAGAGGTAAAGAAAGGAAGATTGGACTGCTGGGTGTGAAACTAGGAAGCCTGTTAATCTGATGGAGAGGCCTCAACAGGGTGCCAGAGGAAGAAGTCACGCCAAGGTTGATTAAGAAACAACTCAACTAGCTAACAACTCACTGCACGTACCCCTACCTTGATTAAGAAACAACTCAAGCTAGCAGCTCACGCCAGCAGCTCACGCCAAAAATCTAAATATCATCGATTCCTCTCTTCCACTTACTGCCACCTCAACTCATCCAATCCATCAGTTGGTCCTGTTGTTTTTGTCTCCAAAATATAACATTTCTATCTCCTCCTACATATCACGGTCCAAGCCAACATCGGGACTCCCCTCGACTACTCCAACAGGATTAGGGTTAGGGTTCTTATTGTTTGCCCCACTGAAACTTCTGTCCCCAGGGCCCCTGTTGTTCCTGGAACTTCCTGCTATGGCTTATGTGGTTCTAAATCAGTGTTTCTCGAGATATCTCTGGTAGAGAACCAGTCTCCACCCCTTGAATCCATTGCAGACCAAGCATTTTTAGAAATACAGTAAAAATAAATTAATTGTTAAAATAATCACAAGTTTTGATGCCTCAGAAATGTCAAACTGCTTCCTACATACCAGGCTGGTAACTACTTGAGGACTGATGGCCCACAGACAGCACTGGGGTAGCTCTGAAGACAAACTGGACTTTGTTGCCCATTGACTGCCACCCCTCTCCCTGGTTTATTCTGCTCCAGCCACATTCTCCATGTTCAAGCCAAGTTTGAGAACACTAAATTCGTTTCCTTAGAGGTTTTGCACCTGCTGTTCCCTTTGGCTGAAACATTCTGACTCTGCATTTTCCTAAGGGTTGACTCCTCCTTTTCACTCAAGGCTCAAATATCACCTCTTAAGAGAGGTCTTTCTGCACCACCTAAGTTAGAGTACCTATCCTCACCACCCCCCAATTAGCACTCACTCCGGATCACATCACCAGCTTTAGGGTCTTCACTGCACTTACCACTACCTGAAATGATCCTTTATTTTTAACTGGATCATGAAGAAATACTTTCCCATCATCCTAGCTCATTGCAGACCATTTGCCCAGGCAGACTGGCCAAAGCTCCCTTCCATCCAAAGTCACCCTTCCTAAGAGCAGGAAGCCCAAGGGGATCGGTTCTTCACTTGGATATAAGCCTAAGAGCAGAGATCTGATCTCCGTATGGTTCACTGCTACATCCCAGCACTGAGAATAACACTTGATGGGAAGTAGGTGCCTGACAAAAATCCACTGAATTAATCTGGAGAAATGAAGGCCACTCTCTTGAGAAGTTCTGTAAAGGAAAGGAAGGATGTAGCAGGAGGCTGGGAGTTTGGAGTCATACAGTGGAGGGTGGGTGAGACAGAAAACATGAGGGGAAAAGTGAACTAATGAGTGGCACACACAGCGAGCACTGGGCATTCTCAAGATGAGACTGCAGTGTGCAGTACTGAGAGGCTCCTCAGCAGAGGAAAGGCTTGACATGGGCCCTAAGAGGAGCCATCTGGCCATCTGAGGAGGCCTGAAGAGGGCATTCCAGGAAGTATGAAAAACACAGGCAAAGGAACAAAAAAGGAAGTTTAACATGGAAAATAATTTTGGGGATGCAATATCTATTTAGCATTTTATCATAAAATATTCTAACCCATATGATATCCTAAATTTAACATCTAGGTTTCCACAATCTTTTTTCCTTTTTAAAGCCTACGGATTGAGGCCGGGCACAATGGCTCACGCCTGTAATCCTGGCACTTTTGGAAGCTGAGGCAGGCAAATCACTTGAGGTCAGGAGTTTTGAGACCAGCCTGGCCAACATGGTGAAACCCCGTCTCTACTAACAATAAAAAAATTAGCCAAGCATGGTGATAAGCACCTGTAATCCCAGCTCTTTGAGAGGCTGAGGCAGGAGAATCACTTGAACCCGTGAAGGGGAGGTTGCAGTGAGCCGAGATCGTGCCACTGCACTCCAGCCCCGGCGACAGAGTGAAACTCTGTCTTAATAAAATAAAATAAAAAATAATAAAGTCTTTGGACTTAAAAAATTCTATATTTTAGTAGTTTCTCACAGTTAATAGCGACTGACTTCCTGGAGGTTTCCTTCCAAATCCAGAACAAGCCAAACTGAGCAGCAAAGTGGGGGTGGAACAGCCTACTGGTTGGCAGCTTCTCCGTAAAAAGAATAAAATTTGTTACTAGAAAGACTGCTAGACTGTCAGGAAGGCCAGATTCTAGTTCCAGCTTTGGCAATAACTCACTTCCTGTATGGCCTTTGTGAGTCACTTCACATGGGGGAAGAAAATGAGAGAGTTGGACCATGTATATAATTATAAATATGTGTATATATTTATAATTTGTTATTGATAATATTTTGTTTTATGTAATATTATAATTATATATAATTAGGGTCACCATATATTTCATTGTATAAACGAGGACCTTTTGAGAGTCAAAAAGAGTATCATTCATAATTTCACCAGGACAACGGACCCAAACTTGAACAACTGATTCTGGGAAAACCAAGATGTCTGATCACTTCCCTATATGCTTTCTTCAGCTCAAAATTCTGTCCTCCTCTAGAAACACCCATGGGTCCCTTCGTCATGTTCTATAGCTGGCTCAGTGCCTGGCATATCCCAGATGCTCACTGTTTGCCCCAACTCCTTTTGGTGAGCATTTCTGCATTCTTTACGTAATCAAAGCCATTGATTTTTCTTCCACAATTTCACTGTCTTATGAAGTTGAATTGTCCTTGTGCCAAACAGCTGCACCCCTCCTACTGCTGATTTTACATGTTGTATATCCTCAGGTGGCCTTTAGTGACAACAGTTTTTCAAAGAAAGTAAAGATTTAGGTGTAAAATTCATTATTTTTCAGGTCAAAGAGTAAGTAGTGAAATTATATACCTGACTCTAAGTTCTTCAATTACTTAAGGCTAGAATGGTAGTGCAAACCTTGTTTTTTCAACTAGATTGCCAATGAACCATATTAACCAAAAAGACATAAAAGAAAGAAAACCTAAACAATATATACTTATTGATGCATTTCACAAATGTTGGAAGAAAATAACACATTCTATGCATATCAAAACTCTAATTGCTCAAAACTCGGTAGCCCAAAGCTAACCTGCATATTTGCAAACATGGCATGTAACAATTTGCCAGGTTTTTTAATAGTCTTTTTTATTTTTAAGGAAAGTGCGTCTTTAGTTGTTAAATATATTTTTTCAACACCAATACTATTTTATGTCTTGAAAGCATGTCCATTTATTTACTTCTCAACTGTAATTGAGGGTGGGGGTGGGGAGAGCAAAGAGAATGAGAGAGTCACTCCCTCTGTACCCAAGGAGACCTCTGTCCCATGCCCCTTCTGGAATGTTCTCTTGCTATTAATTAAATAACTACAAATATGAGTCAGACCTATGGGTTTCCAAGTGACATGACTAAATATTCTGAGAACATGTCTGATTGAGGAAACGAACAACCATTCAGTCTTTGGCAAGATTAAAAGGCAAAAGGATGGAACAAATGCTACAGAATGTCCCAGGAAAGGATCTAGCCTTGGCGTGAAATAAGCTGGACATGTCAGTTCACCTCCTACTCTCTTGGAATCATCTCAGAAATGAGTGGTGGAGACTACATAAATTATGAATGAGACAGTCAGGAAAATCTCTGTTGAGATGTTGGCAAGGCCTGAATAAAGAACAAACAATCCTTGTAAACCAAAGAAAAGGAAAACACAAGGCAAAACCAGCAACACTTTCACCATTACTAACTATACGGGGAAAGGGAAGTCTCTAGTTTCTGAGAATTCTCTGGAACACTGGAAAATTACTGATTTCCAAAGTGTTAAAGTCATTCTCATCCTTAAAGTCATATAAAATCCAAAGCACAGGCATACTAAAAATTCTGTTTTGAGGAGAAGTTTCCCCACACAAAGGAAGTCTAGTTTGTCCTCACTGGCCAAGAGGTTTAAACCACTTTTGGAGTTCAAGTAATGCCTCCCCTTGACCCTGGTCTTGGGTGTGTCACTTGCTGGTCACCTCACAGATCAGCAAGCACACGCCCACCCAAGCTCACCTCCCCACAGCCGCAAACACAGAGGGGCATGCTTGGAATGCCATCAGCGCTTTTCAGCACCTTTAGGGGAAGAACTCTGGGATCTCAGAGAAAGGCATTTGTTTGTTTTGTAAACAAACACATGAAGATGAAGCTCCCTTTTTTTTTTGATGGCTGCTGACTAGGGTGATGGTTGCTGAAGGTTTGGGTGGCTGTGGCCGTTTCTTAAGACCACAGTGAAGTTTGCTGCATCAATTGACTCTTTCATTCATGAAAGATTTCTGTATAGCATGCAATGCTGTTTGATAGTATTTTATCCTCTGCAGAACTTCTTGCAAAATTGGAGTCAATCGTCTCAAACTTTGCCACTGCTTTATCAATTCAGTTTACGGAATATTCTAAATCCTTTGTTGTCATTTCCACAATGCTCACAGCAACTTCACTTTCTTTGCTCATCCTGAAGAAGCAACTCCTCATTTGTTCAAGTTTTATTATGAGATTGCAGCAATTCAGTTGCATCTTCAGTCTCCATTTCTAAATCTAGTTCTCTCGCTATTTCCATTGCATCTGCAGTTGCTTCCTCCGCTGAAGTCTTGAACCCCTCAAAGTCATCCATGAGAGTTGGAATCAACTTTTCCCAACTCCTGTTCATGTTGATATGTTGATCTCCTCCCATGAAATTATGAATGTTTTTAATGACATCTACGATGGTGAATCTTTTCCAGAAGGCTTTTAATTTACTTTGCCCAGATCCATCAGAGGAACCACTGTCTATGGTAGCTGTAGCCTTATGAAATATATTTCTTTTTTCATTACCTTGGTGAACTCTCCAGCTCATTTGGAATATGCTACAGCTTTCACCAACCTGTCCTTGGTTTTTTCTCTAGCCTGTGAAATGCTACTTCTAGTGCCAAAAGATATGAAATAATTTGACATTTTATGTGGGTGCCTTGTAATTTTCACATTTTTCTTATGTCTCTTGACAAAGATTCTTGGCTTGGCCAAACTTCAGTTAGATTTCTGTACCTTCTCCTAGGCTCATCTGTACAGTTCTTCGTAAAATCCAGTTTTAGCAAAGAACCCTACTAAGTCAATTTGGCAAGAATATCCCCTACCCCATCCTCAATATCTGATAAGATTCATTATTCTCCATCATCCCAGAGGTTATGATGTCTAATTACCCTGGCCTGTCTTCAGCAAGAATCCTGTTTGGTTAGTTTAGCCAGAATAGCCCTTATCTCTGATATTTCCTCTCAGTAAGTTTCCATCCACTGACCTCCATCCTGCCCTATGGCTATGAATTCCCACTTGCCCATGCTGTGTTGGAAGTTGAGCCCAATCTCTCTCCCCTACTGGAGACGTTGCTGCAATGGTCCTTACGCCTGTTAAGATGACCTTGCATAAAGGCTGCGAAGCTTACTGCGCTTTAGCAAGTGTCCTTCAATAACTTTTCTTGAATATTCTCGTTAATCATCTAGGAACACTGTTAAAATCAGTCTTAAGGTGAAGATACCTCTTTGGGATCACTTTCTCTAAGATCTTGCTACAATTTTAGGGTTGTTATTCATCAGCTGCTGATCCATTTTAACCACACCATTTAGGAACCCTGGCAGACATGGAGTTGGAGGCAGGAATCTGAGAGGACAAAGAATTAGGGAACTTCTCCTTTCCCTCCACTGTTCCACTCTCTGACCCAATATAATATCTGCCCATGATGATTATTGCAAGAGGAAGTTTCCAGTTTCTAAACAAAAACATTGGTCAGTCATCTTTAAGTGGACCAAAAAATCACTAAGGTGGACTTGAAAGTTAACCCTCACTGCCACTCATCCAATGTGAGAACTAAGTGCACACTAACTGCTGGCGAAACTGCAGGCACCAACAGGACGCCTGTTTTGGTCGTGCATAAACTCTGGATTAGAAAGAGGATTTATCAGTATATTTCCGTAAACTGGGTAGCTCTTTTGACAGAAATCATTGGGCTTTCTGCTCTCTGGTTGAAGGTAGGTGACTGAGAAACGACCTGAATTCCATTACCTAAGAAGGCTTATGGCCTAGACTCAAAATACCAGTTGAGTCATATTCCTTAAGGATAGTGTATCATATTTTTGTCAATGAAAAAAGTAAAATGATTTTTAAACCACTCTATAAAAATAAAGACATCACCTAAAGCACAGTGCATCTATCAGGACTTATAGGGAAAAAATAACAACATCCTTCTCCTGTAAGAAGATTACAATGAAAAGAACAACATCTGTAAAAATTACCCAGTCATAGTGCTTAGCGAACAGTAGGTGCTCAACAAAAACATGAATAGTAGCTGCTGTTTTTAGGAAGTCTGTAAACCAAAGAAAATCAGGTCAGGGAGATACTATCAGCTATTCCAATCTTTTCCCCACATATACTTACTGCGTCTCAGCTCCTAGTAGCATCTCCACTTTCTCATTCGCGTGGTTACTAAGGACTGTCAGAGTAAAGAGGTGACTGGCAGAGCTCTGTCTTGAATAGAGCATTGTGGAGCTGTTCTTCCCTGGAGAAGAATTAAGCTCTTCATTGTCACAAGATTCCACCAATAGCTGATCTCTTAAGGAATAATCATTGACGTTGTAACTTTCTTCACTGTAAAGGAAAGGGAAAAGAACACGTCAATTATTCAGCAGATAAGACTGACATTGTCAGTTTTCGAGGCACATTTTGGTGGAAACAGCAAGGAGTGGGCAGGAAGGAGAGGGAAAGAATGACTTATTTTAAACTATGAATTGGAATTTGAATTCTATCTACTGATTATGAATCAATGTAACCCCCTCCAATTAAACCTAATTACTATTTTTATGGATGTAACACACTAAATTGCATCTCAAGTATTGACATCATCCTGGAACTGTTATAATAAGTGATCCTTGCATCCTTACATGCATCTTGGTCATGCTCCAGCAGGTGTACCTCCCCAGCTTCCACATCTCTATTTGCAGAATGAAGGAGGAGCCTTCTACTCATGCTCTGGGTAACAAGACCTCACCCCCCAAACCCCCCATCTCCAAATGACCATGCATTGAAGAGAAGAGCCCCAGAGGTCTGCTTGCTTCTGGCAAGACACCCAACCCATCCTTGTGTCCCACACTCAGAGCCTCACCACCTGTTTCACAAACCACCAGGACTAATCTCATTATGCCCTCCATTCCTGCTTAGGCTCAGGAACCCCAATATCCTTCTTTCTCCTGCACTCCCATTCCCATCGCACTGTGAACATGCCCAATCTGGCCCCACTTTTTTCCACTCCTCAGCTGGTTCCTGAACCCCTTCCACTGTACCCTCTGGGAATGCAATTCCCTCATTTAAGAAACTAGTAAAGTCTTCTAAATACTTGGCCTCGTCTCTGAACCCTCCCTTCACATTCTTGCCTTAAAAGAAACCTGGCTCTCCCTAGAGAACAAGGCGTCTCCTGAGAGCTCTCTGCCTGCTTGCTTTTTATTCCTGCTTCTATACAATGATCACTTCCTCCTCCTGAAACATCATCAGCTTTGAAGCTCATGGCATCAGTCTCTAACTCATAACTACAGTCATCTATAGACCCCTGGATCGTTTCCGATCCTCTCCCTTGAGTTTCACTGCTGGCTCTCTGTCTCTCTCCAACAATACTTCTTCATACACACACACACACACACACACACACACACACACACACACACTCTCTCTCTCTCTCTCTCTCTCTCTCTCTCTCTCTCTCCCTCTCTCTCTCGGTCATTTACATCAAGTCCCCAACACTACTTCTTTCTTGAAGTCTCCTGTAAAGGATCTTTCCATTACCCTGTACCCTCAATTCCCCGACTTTACTCTCCTCCGATGATCTTGTTTTCTGCCCTACTTCAGCCACAAATCCATGGTTATACCTTAGTCCTTGTCATTACCATCAACTACAAACTCTCTGTAATCCCAGTGTCAAACATACCACTCTCTAACCAGCATGGCCTTTCTTTCCAACTCACCTCCTCTAATCCTCAACACCAACCATTATTTAACTCACCAGTTCTTACAACCCATTGACTCTACAACCTTCCGCCTCCCCCCCTTAATTCCCTCATGTCCTCTTGTTCATGCATATTAAATTAGCTAGCTTGCATTTCTTGGTACCCAGTTAAATCACATCTTGCATACACATTCATCTCCTTGATTGTATTTGCCTGGCAAATCCCGAACCTGGTGACATACAGCTTTTCCTCTACTCTGCACCTGCACCCTTGCGAGTGAACATGAGAGTGCTCAATAAATAACTGTCACATAAGTGGATGAATATGCAATAAATTCTAATATACGCTAGGAATATCGAATAATTACCTCATTTAATAATAAATGCAAATGAATGATGTCAGGGGAGCTTAGAGAAAAGAAAACTCCTTGTGCCTAGTCCAGTACACTAGGAGGAATTTCAGAACAGGCCACTTTGCTCAAGATTTCCTGGAATTTATTTTCCTCAGAATGGACATCTACCTGTCAACCACTCTTTTGTCATGCTCCTTGAAAAACTTTATAATCTTTTCTAAAATTTGGTTTGATAGATTCTGCCCTCAAAAAACAGCAAATGCAGTTATCTATAAAAGCAAAATATTGCCTTCTGATCAAGCCTAATTGTTCCTAGGATAGTAATCTGTATTAATTAAAAGATTGTGTGGCACGATTATCTCCAAAGTTCTCCTGAGACTGCCTACAGACCAGCACACCCACACTTGGATATGTCAAATATTTCTCACATCCAAAATGAGACTTATCAAAGTAGACATGATGTTTATAAAAAGAGGAAGGTGAATAATACGCTTTACAAACAAATACGGTCATTTTTTAAAAGACTATGTTTACTAGAAACAAAGCAGTCAATTTTTAGCAACACAGAACAAGTTTATCATGTTGTATAGATACTATATCAGACATGCATTGAACAGCATAGGACTCAGGATAAAAACCAAAACCAGGATAAAACAGCAAACATAACAAAACCTCAACAACAACAGCATCAAAAACAAGAGAAAAAGAGGATGAACTGAGGCTTCTTTGTTACTATTTTCTCTCTGCCCCTTATGATTACTCTTTTGGTCCAATTTACAAGTTAAAAAACCTGTTAGTCAAAGGCACCTGTTTCTGTTTAAAAACAATTCTGCTTCAGAAAGAGAAATGGAAGCAACCTAATATTGTGAACATGGGGTAAGGCCCTAAACAATGACATGTGTGTAGGCGTTGTAGGTATTTCCAAAGAAATAAAAGTCAAAGAAATGAATATGCTATAAAGTCATCATTTGAGATGACTCAAATTCGAAAATGTTGTCAACATAAAGTGGTTTCACCTATCAAGTCATCCCAATAGAATTCAAAACCAAGGGTTCACAGAAAATGAATATAAGCTAATATGAATAAACTAGTTAAGTGTGTGTGTGTGTGTGTGTGTGTGTGTGTGTGTGACGGAGTCTCACTCTGTCACCCAGGCTGGAGTGCAGTGGTGCACTCTCAGCTCACTGCAACCTCCGCCTGCCAGGTTTAAGTGATTCTCCTGCCTCAGCCTCCCGTGTAGCTGGGATTACAGGCATGCACCACCATGCCTGGTTAATTTTTGTATTTTTAGTAGAGACAGGGTTTCACCATGTTGGCCATGCTGGTCTGGAACTCTTGACCTCAAGTAATCGGCCTCCCAAAGTGCTGGGATTACAGGCCTGATCCACCACACCCAGCCAGCTTCTTTTTCAATTTTCAGTCATAAATGCTTTAATTTCTTGTCTTTGGGGGATAAAGACAGAAGTAGATACTTTTTTAAAATGTTTATTAATTGTTCTCTTAAGCAATGACAACTACAATGCCACTGATTAAGACCCAGGATGGCTGCTGGGCTCAGTTTATGCCTGTAGTCCTCTCAAATGTCCAGTTTGAATGATAAACTGTGGCTGCCCTAATCACAGCTATATGATTTCACCTCAAGTGTTTATTTCCACACATCTGCATAGTTGTGTCATTGAATATGCCTGAACAAGGAACTTGGCCCACTGGACTTCTGGGTCCAAAACAAAATGCAGGAAACATGTTGGCCTTTTTGTTTGTTTTTAAAGTAATTTACTATCACCCAATATCCAATATCATTACTTCGTCTAGGCCAGTAAACTTCTGCATTATGCAATAAATAATGTAGGTCTTTACACCTTCCTTACTGCTCTTTTAGGAAATCTACTATAAAAAGAAACAATTCCATTTAACAGTAGTGCTTCAGTAGAAAGAGGAGCAGAAACTCTATAGCCAGGTGCAGCTGTTTAAAGCCCGTTTCCCATCTCTGCTTATTTACCCCATGTCCAATAAGTATGGAGCAGGCTAAACAGGGTTGGGAAAGAAACCCCCTTCCTGAGGGAAGCTGATGCTAATCAGACTTCCCCATGTTTGTCTCTATCGTTTAACAAACATATGGTTTATATAGTCTCTGAAACAATTTGGAACATGTAATGAGGAAGTTAAAGTGCTCAGAAAAGGGCAAATGGAAAAACCATCTTTCCTTGCATGGAGAAGTTTATATGGAGACTTCCTTTGATTGTCTTATATGTGCTCCAAGTTTACCAGCTGCTCATCAAGGCGTCTGCTTTGTGCAAGCAGCAGCTCCTATCAGGTGCTTCAACTGAATCAAATCTATATAAGTCTGTTGCTTGAAGTGTAAACAGTGATGGGTTCCTCTGTTGAAATCCACTTAAGGTCCTAGTAACCTTTGTTGAGATTTCTTTCTTTTCTTGTTTTTAACAAAATAAAGAACTACTAGTAGAGAACAGGATATGATGGTAAATACATATTCTGATTGTTTTTTTCTTCTCTGGAGGGCATTCTTTGTTAAGCAGGTCAGTGTTTGGTTCTACTATACGCAACATAACATCAAAGGCAGAAAAATGATATACCTTATTATCAACAGTGGCTTTCTTAAGGAGATTATTATGAAGCCCTTTAAGTTTCTGTCCCATAATTTCTATAAAGGTTAGAATTTTCATTCTGAGCATATATTTATTACTTTGAAATCAGGAAGACATTTAAAAATTTGCATACAACTTGCATACATTTTAAAAATACTAAAGCTCCATATATGTATCTGCAGTAGTTAGCACAAGAATAAAGAGATGCCAACTTCAGCGGAGCAGGTACTCTGGAGAAGAGGAGGAAGAAGGGCTGAGGGTGGAAGGACTTTGGGTAATCTGAAGTGTTTTATATATTTTTTTTTGTTTAAAAAGGAGGGATCTGACACTAATACGGCAAAAAGTATCTGTTAAGTATGGATGATAGGTATGTTCATGTTTGATAATTTTCTGCAAGGTTGAACCATTTTACAAGTAAAAGTAAAAAACAAGAATTTCATCAAAAATACATAGATATGACAGCTATCATCACTCTAGGTGTCTGTGGCTGCTTAAGGATGCAACTGAAGTGACTACCTGATAGTGGAATGTCTTTTCTGCCCTCTAACAACTAACTCTTTGCAGATGACATCATTGACTGAAAATATACTACCAAGTGAGAGTGAATTCAGTAAAGTGATTAGGTGTTAAAAAATGGCTTTTGTATATATGAATAACACCCAGTTAGAATATAAAATGAAGATGTCACTTTATTTATGACAAAACCCACTTTATGACAAAACCCACAAAACCCTTAATATGGATTAAACTTAACAGGTTTCTTCTATATGTAGATAACCTTAAACAACTTTAGAAGAAGGCCCAAATTAATGAATAGAAAAGCTTGATATTATCAAGATACCAATTCCTCCTAAATTAATACATAATTTAAACACAACCCAGTGAAAACACAAGCAAGGGTTTTTTGAGAGATGGCAGGGAGTAGAAATAGTTGAGTTGATTGTAAAACACGGAAAAAAAATAAACATGCAGAAATAGCCAGAAAGATTGTGGAAAAAAAAAAGAATAAACTAGCCTTATGATGTATTAAAACATACTGTAGGGAGGCCAAGGCGGGCGGATCACAAGGTCAGGAGATCGAGACCATCCTGGATAACACGGTGAAACCCCGTCTCTAAAAATACAAAAAATTAGCCGGGCGCGGTGGTGAGCGCCTGTAGTCCCAGCTACTCAGGAGGCTGAGGCAGAAGAATGGCGTGAACCTGAGAGGCGGACCTTGCAGTGAGCCGAGATTGCGCCACCGCACTCCAGCCTGGGCGACAAAGTGAGACTCCGCTTCAAAAAAAATTAAAATTAAAATTAAAAAATTAAAAAATAAACATACTGTAAAGCTGCAGAAATTCAAAGACTGGGACAAGGGCACGAGTTGACTGATGAATTGTGAAGCAGAATAGTGGGTTTGCGAGTTGACACAGACATGTCTGGGGATATAGAGGTGACATTTCAAATCTCTAAAAAAATTAATGGGTTAATCAATAAATAATATTGGGACATTTGGGGAAACATATCAAATATTTTTTTAAAATGTTGATCCCAATCTCACTCCTTAAACCAGGATATTTCCTTGGACCCAAGCTCTGGGTACATAAAGAGTTGTGAAGAAAAACTAAGTGACAAGACAGGTCTTTCTGCTGGATACAGACCTTTAACGGCCTGCCTTGTGGTCAGAGAGGTGCTGTTAAACATGTACATACCTTAGGGCAAGTTCTCATCTTAATCCTTATTAGCAAGCATTTTAGATACTTAATACGGATGAACAGGAATGGAAAATAGGCTAGCTTACCAAGATGCACCCAGGATAGTGAAAGGAAGGATGGTGATGGGGAGGCAAGGGAAAGGGTTAGACTGCACAAGCCAGCTTTCCCACAACCCACGTCTCTCAGCCCCAGCTGTAGGTGTAACTCTCACGTACCCGCTTACATTGTTTTAAAACTCTGTTTTATGGCCCAAATCCGACAGATGGAAACCCAAGCAGCACTTCCAGTTCTTCCTTTTGTAAAAAGGTTTAATTTAAAAGAAAAGATGCTATTGAGATTTATCACATCATTGATATTCATATGATTTTTGGCATATATTCTCAAGATAGTGACATTTATTTTTTACCTATTCAGTAGTTTCCTTTCCATAGGCTTTAGAACATTCACATAGCTTTTCTGTCCCGAAAAAAATATTTACTAGAATGTGCTGGTGCCACAACAAATGTTTCCTGAGTTAGCAGCTGCCTGCGTTTTTTCAGACCCTTGTGCTTACAGGCCAGTGAAATGGCTTCCGAAGGCCACCATGGCCCATCACCCCACCAAATTAAACACCTGGATTTCACCATTATTTCTCTTTGCATGTATACAGAATCTAGTGACACTGAGCAACTGTGAATCCTGAAACTCTATCTTCTAATGCCTTCTGTGACATTTCTAAGTCATTCTTCTTTGGGGACACTCTCCAAGATCCTCTTCTAGACTGTCGTGCATTAAATCCCTCTGAGGAATTTAATGGCTCTGACATTCCCCCCCAGTAGCACTGATACACAGGAGTTAATGGGGTTTATGAGATCAAAGGAAATTCTTCCTACTTTCCTCCAATATATGTATGAGAAAAAGTGTTCTGTAGATTTCAACTTGTTTCCCTTCTCCTTCTAAAAAACATGATTCCTAAACCGTCGCACTTGATCGTGTGTTTAAATGGAACAGAAACACTCTAGTCAAACTTTGCTGGGATGAAGGACATTGAATTTATGCTGAAATTTATTTTAAGTCAAGGAGTTAAAAATTTTTTTTCACTTGACTGAGGTTGATTTCCATTTCAATTTGGTTTTAGAATTATACTACTAACATGTTTTTAGTGGAATAATATACAATTTTAAAGGAATGAAATATGGCACAGCAGGTAAGAGTAGAGCCATGATTTGGAATGTCTGGTAAGAAACCCAATTCTAGGCTGGATGCAGTGGCTCACACCTGTAATCCCAGCACTCTGGGAGGCAAAGGCAGGTGGATCACGAGGTCAGTAGATCCACACCATCCTGGCTAACATGGTAAAACCCCGTCTTTACTAAAAATAGAAAAAAAAAATTAGCCGGGCGTGGTGGCAAGCACCTGTAGTCCCAGCTACTCCGGAGGCTGAGGCAGGAGAATCGCTTGAACCCAGGAGTTGGAGGTTGCAGTGAGCCGAGATCATGCCACTGCACTCCAGCCTGGGTGACTCCGTCTCAAAAAAAAAAAAAGAAAGAAAGAAACCCACTCACTCACTGGCTTTGTGAACCAAAGCAAGTTACTGATCCTCTCTGTGCTTCAGTTTTCTCATCTGTAAAGTGGGAATAACAGTACCAACTTGACTGGATTGTTGAGAGGATTAAATGAGATAATACATTTATTACCTCATTGTGTGTAAGGCACTTACAATCATGCCTGACTTACAGTAAATGTCAGCTATTTTTTTTATTTTCTTAACAGAACGCCATCCATTTAAATTGCCTGACATTTTGTTAAAAGCCTGATAATTATATGTTTTGCAAATGCACAAGTGGACCAAGCATAATTAGAGCTAAATACCCATGTCAAGAAATCCACAATTTGGCAAGTGCTCAGACCAGCAAAACAAGGCACAATATTTATCCAGAAACTGATTTCAAATAGGCTTACTTGCTCAGTTCCTCAAGCTAATTCTGAAGTCTAACAAACATGCCACATACATCCTATTTCATTGTTAATAATATAACAAATAGTGGAGATGAGGATCCCCATTCATCAGTATGACTGCCACCAAAAAAGATGGCCAGTGACCCAGAAAAGGGCCAGGAAGCCCCATCCCTGTCACCAAGGGTCACCAGATGCCACAGCCCAGCACTTCTGTGGCTGCTCATGGGATGCTCTGAACCCATAGTCCTTGAAAAAGAGGAGATGGACAGTTCTGAGAGGCTGTCACCACCTTTCTGAAGCTCTCTCCCTGGGATAAGCTGAACTAAGCAAGCCCTGAAGAGCAGGCACAGCTTCTTAAGTGGGTAACAAGGTTATCCAAATTATACAGCAACCCCACACTCCAATTCAGGAGTACCACACTACTGACGACATCAATAAAAAGGAAAAATATACTATTTATTTCACATTTTTCAGCAACAATGTTATAGTGTCTCCTAGTCATTTAGGAATAGTGAAAAAAAAAAAAAACTGCTACTACAACGTGTACACATGATTTACACCAATTTATAAAGAATAAAAATTGACCAATAGTTTTTCCTCACTCACTTGCCGCCTGACATGGGTTTCATGAGGAGGGAAAGGCATAGAGTTAAAGGCATTTATTCCTAAACTGCTCATGTTCTGGAGGCCATAAATTCATGTCTGGTCCTAGAGCGTGCCGTACCTTCAGCTATGTAGCAATTACGTAAAGGTTTAAAATCATTTTTTAAAAACAATAAAATATTCTAGAAGCAGAAGGGCAATAATTTGATTTACGGCAAAATCTTTAGAGAGAGAACACAATACCAAAAATAATCTTAATGATAGCATGTATCAGTTACTTAGCAGGACTATTCATATTCACTGTAGTAAGAGCTTTATGTGCATTATCTCATTTAATTCTCACAGAAACTCCATGATGAAGATGATGTTATTATCCCCATATTACAGATAGAACACTGAGGCTCTGAGAGACGAGAAGTAATTTGCCCAGGATTTGAGCTCAGTTTTCTGACCCCAGGCATCGATATTGTGCTTCTCAGTAGTGGCAGCTTTCAACATTTAACAGCAATGCCAACTCTCCTTACAGATGCAGGGGAAACAATACCTCATAACATCAGAGGAATCAAGGCTGCAAATGACAGCGGAAGAAAAAAAGGAGCAAAAAGGAAACAGGGCTCCCATTTCTTTTCCACCCCATCTTGCCATCTTGAATTTAGAACTCAATTCCAAAATGGTCAGAAATAAGCAAGCTTCATGTGTTTCAGGAACAAAGGAGCTTGCAATCATTTTTACTGCCTTTCCTTTAGCCAGGATACTCTTGACTTCCCTAGGAACGAGTTTATTCTGCAGATGAAACAGGTATCAGGTGATTTTCAGCTTTCTATAATAGGAAAGAGCATTCTCATGGAAAAAGCAAAAAATGGAACCAAACCAGGCCATGAACCTTTCAAGGGAGCCTGCACAGCTTTGAGCCACTGGGTGTTCAAACTATTTGGGAAAATCCAAATTTGAACTTAAGTCCTTGACCTTATGATAATGACCTAGTAGTTTGCTATTACAGAAAATTTTATAAAACCTGAAAAAAAAATTAAAAATTTTGAAAACCTTTTTATAAAACCTAGAAAGTTGTAACCAGGGCTCAAGCTATACACAGTATTTATGGAACCAGAAATCAGGAAGTAGAAATCTCCTGTCTTAAATGTCTGCAGGAAGGAAATGTTAACAAAGGGAAACTCTTCCCCAGATTCTGATGCTAGATTAGCTAATGGCAGAGGAAAACTCACAAATATGATTTGGTACTGGTTCTAGTTTTCTCCTACAACCAGTAAAACTATAAAAATACTCAACAAAAGCTTACTTTGGAAAAGATGTTTCTCCAAACAAACAAAAAAGTTGTAAGTTTCTATGCTTTTTTCCCCCAATAACTTTATAGGATGAGGGGAAAAGTGAAATATTCTAGAAAAATAAAATGAAGAAGTAATGAACATAAAGAAATTGAGCCTCTGGAAACAAAGACTCAGATTAGAATCCTGGCTCTGCTGAAAGACCTTGAAAAAGATATTTTATCTCTCTTTTCCTCAGCGTCTTCATCTGTGAAATGGAAATAATCCTGGCCTCCAGAACTGTGAGACAATAAATTCTGACTGTTTTAAGCCACTCACTTTGTTTGTGGCACTTTGATACAGCAGCTGTAAGAAACTAACACAGTAAGGAAACAAATACAGGAAGGAAAATTTTGCTTTCAGCTTCAGGTGATATTGGTAGAGAAGACCTAAGCCAGATAGAAGGGACTATATCTTACAAAATAAATCTTTTAGTAGCTTGAACCTAGTTAGATCTTGGATTCAGTTTTGTATTTCAAAACTAGGAACAACAGTATTTAGACCATAGGTTATACATGAAGGTACAGTCTGTAATTCATCTTTATTATAATAAGTTATCAGTAGGCACATATTGGATATTATAATGTTATTTGTTAATCTATGAGTATAACTTGACAATAAATTACTTTTATAATACAATATTACTATTCTTGCTGTGTCAGTCTGATAGATTTTCACACCTTCACTACTCCAAAGGCAAAGCTAGTTTAGTTTACTACCATGCTAGTATAGTGGTTGTCAACTAGCAGGGATTTGCTCCATGGGGACATTAGGCAAAAACGTCCAGAGACATTTTTGGTTGTCGCAACTAGGGTGTAAGGGGGCTGTTACTAGCGAACAGTGGATAGAGACGAGGAATGCTGCTAAAACATCCTACATTATTGCACAGGACAGTCCTCTACAACAAAGAAACATCAGGCCCCAAAATGTCAATCGTGCCAAGGTTGAGAAGTCTGCTCTTGCAGTACCCAGATAACTTCTAGTCAAAGCTTCAAATACCAAAGTGTTCATGTCCTCATCCCTCATCCAGAGTAATCAATCATGTATCCTTTTGAAATCTGGTAGAACCAGGCTATTAACAGAGTGACTCACTAGCAGCCAGGGCTAATGAAAACTTTAAACTTTCTTGTAAAGAGAAAGGCACATGCCCACAGCCCCAGCTACTCAGGAGGCTGAGGTGGAAGGGCTGCCTGAGCCCAGGAGTGTGAGGCTGCAGTGTGCTATGATCATGCCTGTGAATAGCCACTGAACTGCAGCCTGGGCAACATAACAAGGTCCCGTCTCTAAAAAAAAAATTAATAATTAAAATAAGCTTGTTTTTAATGTTCTAAAAAAGTGAAAATTCCTGTCACAAAGACAGTGTCATGGCCACTCATCAAGCCAGCTTTACAAGCACAAGCAGTGATACATGCACTGTGAAGTGGAGGGGGTCCACACACCTCAGCAATCTATGGAATGTGCCCAGTATAAACCTTCTGCCAGTCTGGATCGGAGGAGGAAGAGTAACTGTCCTCCCGAGCAGCTTTTCTCAGTAGCTGAAAAACCTCCCTGAAGAGGAAAACCACTGGAAGCCCAGCTGCTAAGTTCCTTGACTGAAACCTGGAATTAGAATTAGGCAGTGGGTGGCTAGATCAGTCCTCAAGCGCTGGCACAGGTGATTTTCCTTTATCTGTAACTTGTGGCCAAGCCTAAATTATCGCCTTGTTCAGGGTTGTTGTATCTCCTTTACTGTTGCCTCTGGCATGCAAAGCATTTGCAGTTCGCCTCCTTGAAGCTATCATGTAAATACGGTCAGGCATAGTGTACATTTTTAACCAAGTCTGTTTATGAAGCTTCTGTGGTTTGCATGTAACCTCACCACATATTCAGGTCATAAACAATTAGGTCTCCAATACTATTACCTAAGAACACCCTAGAAATATAATGAACTAATTGGTAAGGCAAAAAAAAAATTCTAGTTTTGGTAAAGGCCAAGTTAGGTACTCAGGTTGTCCTCTCCATTGGAGCTGTGTATCTTGCTCTTAAAAAAAAGAAAAAGAAAAAAAAGAAAAAGAAAAAAAAAAAAAGGCCAGGTGCGGTGGCTCACGCCTCTAATTCCAGCACTTTGGGAGGCCGAGACAGGCAGATCACCTGAGGTCAGGAGTTCTAGACCAGCCTGACAAACATGGAGAAACCCCATCTCTACTAAAAATACAAAATTAGCCAGGCATGGTGGCGCATGCCTGTAATCCCAGCTACTCAGGAGGCTGAGGCAGGAGAATCACTTGAACCTGGGAGGCAGAGGTTGCAGTGAACCAGAGATCATGCCATTGCACTCCAGCCTGGGCAACAACAGCAAAACGCCCGTCTCAAAAAAAAAAAAAAAATTCTCAAAGACTCCCAATGGCATTGCTCTTTATTAATAATACAAGTTCAAATTTACCTGAGCAAATAAATGTGGGATAGCTAGGAGAGCAACACCATCTGTGAAGGGCAAAGTACGCTACTAAGTAGAAGAGCATATACCTTAATTCTGACTTTCAATAGTCTATATTTATTGAGTAGGTCTGTGCAAATTCAAGAACAAAAGTTGCACTGTACTGGTTTAAATACCTTTAATATTTTCATTAAGTCACCAAAGTCATCATAATCGAAATTACATTTATATTTAAAATTGGCTTGGTACTGTCAGTGTACATTTTACCATTTAAATCAAATTTTAGTTAAAGCTCTTGGTCTACTGAGACAGAACAAATATTTCAACAGCTGGAAGATGTTAAAAGTCAAGAGTTCTGGCATTTGAAGAGACATATATAACTACTCTCCCCTAAAAACAAAACATCCTGGAGAAAGCCAAGGAAAAATGCTATCTCATAGGAAACCAACAAAACACAAAAACATAAAAATTATAATTCTTCTCCCATCTTTCTTTATAAAATTTACGGCTGGGCGCAGTGGCTCATGCCTATAATCCCAGCACTTTAGGAAGCTGAGGCAGGCAGATCACGAGGTCAGGAGATTGAGACCATCCTAGCTGACATGGTGAAACCCCATCTCCACTAAAAATACAAAAAATTAGCTGGGTGTGGTAGCGGGCGCCTGCGAGAGGCTGAGGCAGGAGAATGGCGTGAACCCGGGAGGCGGAGCCTGCAGTGAGCCGAGATCACGCCACTGCACTCCAGCCTGTGGGACACAGCAAGACTCTATCTCAAAAAAAAAAAAAAAAAAAAATTTTTACTTAGCTGCTAGAACTATTTAGACTACTCCAGGTAAGAGAAGTAATTTCTCCTTGGAGATATGGAAATAGAATTTTCCTAAGTATGAAAAATAATGATCAGCATTTTAATGTATGTATCATTGTCACATTATGGCTTCTCAGGGAAGACCATACTAACATTTCATTTCAGCTAGACAGCCACTCAGCTGAAATAATTCATAATATGGTCTGATTAAAAGGAGCAAAAAGAAGAACTCAATCTGTTTTAATTTAGTTTGAATTTTCAAGCTATAAAGTCAGCAACTCAGAACTAGCATTTAATTAAATATGCCTGATACATTTGGACATTTATTTTGTATTTTCATAGAGATCTGTTTCTATAATTCTCTTCACCTTGCCTAAATTGCACCCCAGGACCACCCCTGATCCCACCATATGCCATCAATTCAGGCCACCATCATTTCCCTCATATGTGGAAATAACAGCCCACAGATTTAAGTTTTCACTCTAAGTTCATATTCTAGGAAAGACGGAATATTTACATAGGACCTTACATGTGTTGGGTGCATTTAATAAAGTATGTTCCCTAGAGAAAGGCAGAGCTGAAGGGGTGTGTGTGTGTGTGTGTGTGTGTGTGTGTGTGTGTAGAACAGAAACAGTCTGACAGAAGAAATACTGGAAAGAAAAGGTTTCTACAATATTCTTCATGGACATCTCACCAGAGCTGGACACAAACACAGAACTAGAAGCCTGGAGTAAGAAGAACAAACACTCTGCCAATCAAATGATTTACTTCATTCCCTTCAGAAGGGAGTATGGCTAACACCTTCCCAGTCACAGGGGAATGTTTTAGACTAAGGATCATTAAAAGCAGTGCATTTTAAATTAAGTTAAAAGGAGCACTAGAGTTGCTCCCCAACCTGTTCTCAACTGGACCAACTTTTTTCTGTTTTACACAAAAATTTTATGGTAGAAGGAGTCTGAAAAACACAGAATGAGAATAAAAACAGTGCTACCTTCTCAGGGATATCATAAGAATTGAATGATATAAATGTGTAAAATGCTTAGAACAGTGGCTCAATAGAGGTTGGCAAGAATTATGATGCAGATAATGATTCGTCTGAAACTACATAAGCAATTTAAAGAAAATGAACCATAGATGCAATTATGATTCAGTATGTAGAAACTATACTTCCAACATTTCTAGCTTTTAAAGGATGATCACCCTAACAGGCATCTGAATTACAGAACTTTAAAACTGGAATGTCTAGTCAGCAACACCAGATAAAGACTTACCTCTTCTTCTTGGTGATAATGAGCACATCGTTAAAGAGAAAGAAGTAGACTTGCTGTTTGGATGTCCTTCTTGAGAAAAGCACAGTGTCTTCAACATAGGCTGTCAATTCACCTCTTTTTACCAACCACCGGGAAGAGGAGACTAAAGGAAAAGGCTACAAAAGGAGAAAAACCCAGTGACCAAAGCTAAATTGAAATCCTTTTAAGTTTACTGAAAGTAAAAGCTAAAACGTACATTCAAACAAATGATACTTATCATAGTATGCATCATTGTTTTATAGGCATATAAAACTGAACTATAAATACAGAAGTACAGTGCATTCTTCAAGAAAAAATGAAAAAGAACAATATATCTTCCACTATAAAAAACTATTAACTTCCCAATATGAAACTAAAACTCAATGAGAAAATGTTATTGGATCAATAAAAAATTATGACCCTTCTATTAACTCTTAACTGAAAAAGAAAGTAAGGAGTTATTTACAATTGAAAAGCCTAGTAATAAAATATATCAGAATCAACTAGTTATTTTAAATATCTCAAATCAGAATCTAAACATACAGAAAAACACAACTATAGGTTAACGAGACAAATATAAAAGTCTACATTTACTTCATGAAGTAAAAAGGTTTCTTTCAAGAGAAAAAAACCTACATGCTTATTTTTTTGTCTACAAATTATCTATTTAGCCATATTCTTGAGAACACCTGTTCTTAAGATCATGGTAGCTTGCTTCATGGAAGTTTGTACCTGAAAGCATCATACTACTTTCTGGCTGTGAAAATGAGGTTCTTCCAAAATAATCCATCATAATCATTATAATATCATAGAAAAGGCTGTATCCAAAAAATTACATACTGCTTTTTTATTTTCTTTATTCAGTCTTGTACAAGCCAACTGGAAAACTCTCAAAACTACAGAACAATCCTTACCCTTGAAAGCTTTTTTTTTTTAAGTTACCAGAAATGTTTACTGCCAAAACTCTGATTTAAAAGACTACATCCATAAAATAAGCAAAAGTTCTTGGACACACAAAACATAATGCAGAAATGTGATGCAATCAAACATCACCCTTTTCAGGAAATAATGATTAAAAATAGCTAAAGGAAATTGAGGATATTAGAGAGGAAATGAGAAGGCTAAGAAAGGATTTCATATTTATTTTAAACTTTATAAAGAGCTTTTATAAGAAGGTTGCTTATCATTTATATACTATTTTCCTGAAGGTCCAAAAAACGAAGATAAAAGATTATGGCTAACCCCAAACTTTTCAAAACTGGCTGCTAAGGGAGTTTATGAAGTTCCCAACCCCCAAAATCTCGAAATCAGACAATTACCCTACAGAGACAGCTGAAACCTTAAAGGTCGACAGATTGCTTAGATAACTCCGGCAGACTAGGCAGCACATACAAGAGGTCACCTTGTGTCAGGGTAGGTCCGGCTGAAGGGCCGGAATTACAGGAAACACAGGACTATCTTGCTATTGCGTATAACCCTACAAGATGAACCAAGGACAATATTATGGTTAAGTTTCAGTGCACATGCTGCCCTGTGACTGTTCTGATTTAGGGGGTGGAGAAAGAAAGATTTTTAAATTGTTTTATTGTTTTTAAAGCAGATTCATTTTTATGGAGTCCTCATACTCCACTAGGGGCAAAACTAAATTTCTACCTATAAACACCTAAAATTGACAAAAGCTTTCAATACATCTATGCTTCTTTTGAAAACAAAAGCCCAACATTTTATATATAGTTTATGTTTCAGATTTATTGTTAGAAGACTGAACTCAATCAGATAGGTTTTATTAAAGAAGAGATATTAAAATGATCCAAATAAAGGAAATCAGAACAGCCCAAAGTGAGCATGAGTGAATTCCCCTAGTAAGGAAATGCTGAGACTAGAATCCATGTGTGAACCAGAAACTAGAAAAGAAATTCATGAACAAAGATATATCCTAAATAGTACTGAAATACTATCCTAAATAGTACTGAAATAGTCTGTGCCTATGGAGCACAGACATTTCATTTTTTTTTTTCTATTACCTGGCATCCTAGAAAGCTAGCCTTGGCATAAAATGTAACTAATTTTATGGGGCAGCAAGAAAAGAGAGAGCTGCTGAAGAGCAAATAATTTTTTTAATGTTGAGATAAAATTTACATAACATGAAATTCACCATTTCACCACTTCAAAGGGTGTAGAATACAGTGGTTTCTAGTATGTTCATAATATTGTTCAATAATCAACATTATGTAATTCCAGAGCATTTTCATTACCTCAAAAGGAAACCCCATATGCATTGAGCAGTCATCTGCCACTCTTCCTCCCCCAAGCATCTGGCAACCACTAATCTACTTTCTAACTCTATGGATTTGTCTATACTGGATGTGTCATATAAATGGAATTATACAATATGTGATCTTTGAATTTGGTTTCTCTCACCTAGCATAACATTTCCAAGGTTCATCCACAAGGCATGTATAAGAACTTTATTCCTTTCTGTGCCTAAATATTTTACTATATGCATATATCACATTTTGTTTATCAATTCATCCGTTGATTTGGGGTATTTTCACTTTCTTGGCTATTATGAACAATGCTGCCATGAAGATTTGTGTATATGTTTTTGAACATCTCTTTTCAGTTCTCTTGGGTATATACCTAGGAGTGGAACTGCTGGGTCATATAGTAGTAACTCTTATGTTTAGATTTTTGGGAAACTAACAAACTGTCCTCTACAGCACAAAGATTTTTCTTGGATTTCCATTGTTAGCAAGGCCCCCAAATGGCAACCAGCAAAGCCTTCTGTCAACTAACATACCACCACTCCACTCAATCACACTGAATGTATGTCTCCTAAAGCAGCCTGAGAAACCTCAACTTCTCCATGTGCTTATTCATAAGGTCAAACTTTCCATCGCAAGACAAAAAAACAAAATTCTTCCCAACTCTGTAGAGGCAACTTTTAAAGAAAGCTGTTTTCTAGTGGAGAAAAAACACTGGATTTGAGACACAAACTAATCTCTGGTTTTCGATCTTCTTGGTTTAGTGACCAGCTTTTTCTCTACAACCATCATTTTCTTTCCTCCCATCTCAGAGGATAAGCTCTCCTGTCTTCAACACCCTGTTTTCAGCTCTAAGGCCTTATTCCCTTGATTTATTCCCCTCTCATTAGTATTCTCTCCCTCCTGGCTCCCTTTCTGCAAACTATCCTGAAGACTATTCACAAAAAATGGTCCCTTGACTTTGTGAATCCTCTAGTTATCATCACTGCCCTATCCTCTTGATAGTCAAGCTTCTGGAATGAAAAGTCTAATCTGCTTCAACTGCTTCACATCCCACTCACTCTTCAATGCACCCACATCTATTTAACTACTCTGATAAAACACATCAACAATGTTTGCTGCTTGTTTACTATAAATCAGGTCTATTTAAACCCTTTATATCTCTTAAATAATTTAATTTTCAAAATAATTCCATGAGGGAAAGTACTATCATCAGCTTCACTTTAGGGTTCAGAAAACCAAGACATGAAAAGGTAAGTGATGCCCAAGGTTGTACAGCTAGTAAGTGGTGGAGCTTCTACTGCAACTCAGGCAGGTCAGTTCTGGAGCCTGTGCTCTAACTTTACACTAGCTTCCAAAGTGCCAATCCAGGGATGCTTTCCATCTCCTCTCATATTACTGCAGTTTAGCACTTGACAGTCTTCCAGAAAATCATAAGCAAAATTAAAAATAAAAAACGTGTGAAATGACAATGAAAAACACACACACATGCCCTACAAAATTTACTTTCCTCCAAATTAGAAAAATATCCATATTATCATTATCATACAGTCATTGTTAAGAATGTGGACTCTGGAGTCAAAGATTTGAATCTAGACTTTATAACGTCTTGGTGTATAACCTTGAGCAAAGAATTTAATCTCTCTAGTTTCAGGTTCTTCATCTATAAAGTGAAGTTAATAATAAGGGTACATTATAGGGTTCATGTGAGAATTAAATCAGATAAATGTGAAAATGGCACTACTTAGTAAATTTGCAACCAATATTCTCATAGTAGTAGCACCTATGGCCATACCATAAACCAAATATGGCCAAAATAGAACTCATTACCTTCCCCCAAAACTTGTTCCTCCTCCTGAATTTCCTATCTGAGTGAGTGGGTGGCTCTCCACCCAGTCAACCCGACAAGGCCCACTCCCTGACCACTGCCCCTCACGGGTAATGACCAATAACTAGTTTCATCTGCATCTGTCCAAATATTTCATCTGCAAAAGCAAACTGTATTTTTTTATATCTAAACCTTACTTTTTTCATTTAATAATATATAAGAAAGCTTTCCATATAGGTATCTAAAATTCTCCTTTATTCTTTTGAGTGGTATCACATTATTTGCGTATACTATAATTTATTTAATTAATCCTCTTTGATAGATATTTAGATGTTTTTCCTCATCTTTCACTATTACAAACAACACTATAATAATAGCTCAGTGTGTGTTTAATTTTATACATTCATGAGTACATCTGTAGAATTCTTAGAAGTAAAATTGCTGAGTTGTAGTAACTTGCATTTGTAATTTTGATAGTTATTGCCAAATTGCACACCATTGGGGTAAAACAATCTTTCCCACCAGCAACATATAAAAATGCCTTTTTCTCCAATTCCATCAATAAAATGGGGTATCAAACTTTTGAATTATTTATAAATCTAAAAGGTGAAGTTCATTATCTTTATCTGCTAATCTTCAATTAGCAATTTTCCTCTGAGTGAAATAAAGCATCTTCAAAACTTTGTCATCATTTGGATTTCCTTTTCTGGTAGCAGTTTTCTAATTTGCAACTTTCTAGTGGTTTTTTTTTTTTGTTTTACACAACAGGAATTTATGTCTCACAGTTTTGGAAGACAGGCCAAGATGAAAGTGTCAGCAAGGCCAGGCTCTCAGAAGGTGCTAGGGAATAATCTGTTCCAGGCCTCTCCCCCAGCTTCTGGTAGTTTGCTGGCAATCTTTGGTGCTCCTTGGCTTGTAGACTAGTGGGTCTTCTCTTATCATTTTGATTTTATACATCGGGGATATTTACCCTTTGTCTATATGTGAGTTGCAACTATTTTTTTCTCCAGTTTGCTATTTGCCTTTTCACTTTTTTCATGGTCTTTTTCCCTCTATAGAGAAATTTTTTAAAAATTTATATAGATTAATTAGGACTTTTTTCTTTTAATGACTTCTGGATTTGGAGTAAGTTGGAAAAGCCTTTCCCCATTGCTGAAGTTGTCTTTACTAAACACACATCTGATTGCTTCACTTCCCTGCTTAGAACTTTTCGGTGGCTCCCAAATGACCTCACTCAGCTCCTCCTCTTGGTACACAGGGCTGTCCGCAGGAGTGTTTGCCTGCTACTGTAGCTCCACCCTGCTCCTCTTGCACCCCAAGTCTACCCACACTGAATGCTTACAATTCCTGGGCCACAGGAGTGGAAACTGTGCATTTGTTTCTGCTCTAAGGCCCTTCTTAACTCACCTTTCAAGATTCAGGTCAAACACACCTCTGGCATTAAGCCTTGCCAGACTGCTCCAAGTCCCCCAGCCCTCTCTGTCTCTTGCTCTTAGAGTTGTCCATCTCCCTTCCATTTCCAGTATTTTCCATAGTCTTCTAGCTACTGTGACAGCTGTAGACTTTGCTGACTCCTTTGATTTTCAGCAGTCTTCTACTAGACTATGAGGGGAGGGATGATCACGTTTTTATCTACTGCCTTCCACATGGAAGATGCTCAGTAAATCTGCTCTATTCTTACAATACTTGCCATGTACTTGGATAAATCATTTAACCTCATTGAACCTCTATTTTATCATCATTAAAATAAATTAAATAGAAATGTCCACTGTTATTCATATAGTATTATAAGGTCCTAAGATTTTACGAGTATTTCCAATTAGTAATAATTAGTAATTCTAAGTGTTCTAAATGAGGTGCTCCACTGTAAATCCATACTTTATGCTCGCAAATATTTTAATCATTGAATGAAAACAACCAAAACTCAGGAACTCAACTGATGTTAATCACTTACTTTTTTGTTTGTTTTTTGTTTTTTGTTTTTTTTGAGACGGAGTCTCGCTCTGTCGCCCAGGCTGGAGTGCAGTGGCACGATCTCGGCTCACTGCAAGCTCCGCCTCCCGGGTTCATGCCATTCTCCTGCCTCAGCCTCCCGAGTAGCTGGGACTACAGGTGCCCGCCACCACGCCCGGCTAATTTTTTTGTATTTTTAGTAGAAAAGGGGTTTCACTGTGTTAGCCAGGATGGTCTCGATCTCCTGACCTCAGTTAATCACTTACTTTTAATGATCCTTGGGGTTAGCATTTTTCAATTACAAATTAATTTTGGGTACTGGACAGAGTTTCTTTTTCTTTTTCTTTTTTTTTTTTTAAGAGTCTTGCTCTTTTGCCCAGGCTGGAGTGCAGTGGTGAGATATCAACTCAATGCAACCTCTGCCTCTTGGGTTCAAGCAATTCTCCTGCCTCAGCTTCCCAAATAGCTGGGATTACAGGTGCCTGCCACTACACCCGGCTAATTTTTGTATTTTTAGTAGAGACAGGGTTTCATCACGTTGGTCAGGCTGCTCTCGAACTCCTGACCCCAGGTGATTCACCCACCTCGGCCTCCCAAAGTGCTGGGATTACAGGCATGAGCCACCTCGCCCGGCCTAGACAGAGTTTCTTAAAGTAATCTTATACCAAGTGACTTTCAGTGAAGAAGGGAAAAGAAAAATGGTTAGGGAATTTTTCATCTTTCAAAAGGAGGAAATTAAAAAACAAAAAACAAACTTGTCAGATATACTTTCCAAAATATTTAGAAACAAATTAGAGAGAACGAGATTCTGAGAGTTGGGAGAAAGATGGGTTTTTTAATTGCTATAAAATTCTGTACAAGAACATTAAAACTATTTAAAGTGTGCGTGCATGCATGTGTGTGCATGTGTGTCTGGTTTTTGGCAAATACCCATCTTCTTCCCTTTTACAGTTTGTGTTTCTGCATCTAAACCATTAGAGTCAGAATGTTACAGTAGAAGAGTTTACACTGACCTGCAAGTCAGGACATCTAGACCTTAGTCCTGATTTTATCACCACTAGCCAAGTGACTCTGCTGACAATTATTCTCTGGGTTTCTTTTCCTCATTCATAAAATAAAAGGGTGTAGCTGGACTATATCAGTGATCCTCAATTCTAGTATATATGCTGCCAAAGCAAGCATGCAGTAATCCTCAAACTACATGACATGGCAGAGAATCTGCTCTTTACAGAATACCATGAAATGCTGATCACTATAATTTGACTGCATGAAATAGAAACACTTTTACTAGGGAAAAATATGACCAGTCATTTAAAATTGTTTAATTACATTTACAAGTTATAAAACAATAGAGTCACAATCGTGAGCACTCACTTCCCATTAAAAACTCAGCCATGAGCCAACAAAAGAATGGCCATGACCTAGATTTGCCATTAGCTGTCATTTTCTTCTTTTTTGTTCATCTTGTCATCTGCTCAAGAGCAGTATCAGACAAGGAATAACAAGCAGCACATATTCAAAAAAATTATGAGAGAAAAACAAACTTGAAAAAAATTATCCATTAACGATCTGTTTTGTAAACGAGAAAAGGAGTGTCCTTATTTAATTTAGGAGAACACTGGTCCAGCTCATGGAATATTACTGTTTTTCAGAACATTTTGAGAATAATGAAGGAATCTCCTTTCAATTCTAAAATTCTATTATTTTAACTACCCTATTCTATTATTTTATTTATTCCCCTAAGCTTGGTGTCTTCCTGGAAAAAAAAAAGTGCTTCTTAGATAATGCCTGGCTTCAGGGCCTGGAGGAAGGTCACTCTGTCTGGTACAAGCAAAAGCAAAATTGCCTGAAGCATCTGCTACTCCCTCTTAGCAATTTATGACCCTTCTTTGAAAAGCAATTTCCTATCTACTTTGTTGCCCTCAACTGTCTCTCTCTATTTAGAGAAAAACATAGGCAAGAACAGTAATGAACAAGGTACGAGAATACCTTAATTTTAAATTCCAGCTGGGAGTTAATTGTGTACATCATCTCAGTCCTTTCCATCTTCCGGGCGCCCTCATTGCATAGTCGAACCAACTGGGAACACAGAAGAGTAACGAGGGTTAAAGGTCAAGGAGAGAAACCTCACTTTCAAAAGCAGAACTCTCACAGGAAATAATTACCACTTGGGAAGCCCTAGAGATTCATTTCTGACAGAGAACTCACAGTTTTTCACAGTTAAGACATTCGTATCCAGTTAGAAGTGGTGTGATTAGGATGTGAAGACAGAAGGGAAAAAAAGGTCACCCTATCTCAGGGAAAGCTGCAACCCTCGCCCTTCTTCCAAATCAGAGCAGCTGAAGGGAGATGGCCAACCTCAAAGGCAAAATCTAAGCAGAGTGCTGTGTAAAGCATGTGACCAGTAAACAAGTGCTGAAGCTTCTGCACAGCAAAAGAAACTACCATCAGTGTGAACAGGCAACCTACAAAATGGGAGAAAATTTTCGCAACCTACTCATCTGACAAAGGGCTAATATCCAGAATCTACAATGAACTCAAACAAATTTACAAGAAAAAAACAAACAACCCCATCAGAAAGTGGGTGAAGGACATGAACAGACACTTCTCAAAAGAAGACATTTATGCAGCCAAAAAACACATGAAAAAATGCTCATCATCACTGGCCATCAGAGAAATGCAAATCAAAACCACAATGAGATACCATCTCACACCAGTTAGAATGGCAATCATTAAAAAGTCAGGGAACAACAGGTGCTGGAGAGGATGTGGAGAAATAGGAACACTTTTACACTGTTGGTGGGACTGTAAACTAGTTCAACCATTGTGGAAGTCAGTGTGGTGACTCCTCAGGGATCTAGAACTAGAAATTTCATTTGACCCAGCCATCCCATTACTGGGTATATACCCAAAGGACTATAAATCATGCTGCTATAAAGACACATGTACACGTATGTTTATTGCGGCATTATTCACAATAGCAAAGACTTGGAACCAACCCAAATGTCCAACAATGATAGACTGGATTAAGAAAATGTGGCACATATACACCATGGAATACTATGCAGCCATAAAAAATGATGAGTTCATGTCCTTTGTAGGGACATGGATGAAATTGGAAATCATCATTCTCAGTAAACTATCGCAAGAACAAAAAACCAAACACCGCGTATTCTCACTCATAGGTGGGAATTGAACAATGAGATCACATGGACACAGGAAGGGGAATATCACACTCTGGGGACTGTTGTGGGGTGGGGGAAGGGGGGAGGGATAGCATTGGGAGATATACCTAATGCTAGATGACGAGTTAGTGGGTGCAGCGTACCAGCATGGCACATGTATACATATGTAACTAACCTGCACAATGTGCACATGTACCCTAAAACTTAAAGTATAATAAAAAAATAAATATTTTGTATAGACATAAAAAAAAAATAAAAAATAAAAAAAAATAAAAAAAAAAAAACAAGTGCTGAAGAGGGAAGTCTTGCAGGGGAGCCTAACAGTGAAGGATTCTTCAACAATAGCCAAGCTAAGGCCATCAGTTAAATTTGTTTCACTAGAAGCACTAAATTATCTATAAAGCAAAATTATCTATAAAGGACTTTCACAGTCGTTTAATGAGTACCTAATCTTAATTCACTGGTCTAAATCAAAACAAATTTTGCATCTCAAGTATCTCATTAACTGGAAAATCTGGAAAAAAAAATGCCCATATTAGAGTCATTTGCCATAAAAACAAATGTGATTGTTAAAAGGACTGGAAATTTTAATTGGATTTATTTTTAATAATATAAACATACCCACTATAAAAATAAATACTATAATATAGAAGTAAATAAAATAGGCCATAAAAGGTCCTGACCTACTCCCACTGCACAGATGTAGTTGGAAACAGACTGGGTCATACACTTTCTCTTTTTTTCCTATGTTATATATGAACATATAAATACACACATATATGTACAGAAATTTTTCTTTTTTGGAAATGATCATTCTATGCTTGTATGTCTTTTTTCTTTTTTCACTTATCAATTATTACAGACTAAATGTTTGTGTCTCCCCCATATTCATGTTGAAATCCTAACCTCAGTGTGATAATATTACGAGGCAATGTGATAATATTGGGAGGTTATTAGGTCATGAGAGTAGAGTCCTCATGAATGGGATTAGTGCCCTTATAAGAAGAGACAGGATAGCTTTCTTCTTCTCTCTGCTCTCTCTCCACCATGTGAGGACATAGGGAGAAGGTGGCCATCTGCAAACCGGGAAACCAGCCTTCAGCAAACACTGGTTCTGCCTATATCTTGGTCTTGGACTGCCCAGCCTCCACAACTGTGAGCAATAAATATCTGTTCCTTAAACCACCCAGTTTATGGTACTCTGTTACAGCAGCTTGAATTAAGACAAAAATATTTCCCCTTCTAAAATATTATTCATTAAAAAAAAAAGTTTATTTAGTGCCTACTATGTTTCAGGTACTAGGGTTATAATACTTACAATCCCTAACCTCACGGAAGGGCAGACAAAAGGCAAAAAAAAAAAAATCACAGACTGAGATCATAAAGTAAAAACACAGGTGAGTAGGGGAGTGGGAAGTGGGGAGGGATCCAAAGGACCCTCTCCTGAGAGGTCATTTAAGCTGAAAGCTGAAGGAGAAGTAGTTACTACTAAATGATAAGATGGTTCACAGAGAAGGGACACCATGAGCAAAGGATGAGATGAGAAAGTGTGTGACTGAGTGAGTCAAAGAAGATCCTGGCATGAAGGAAGGTGGCATGGGATGAAGCCAAAAGAGATAGGCCACGGTTAGATCATGCAAGGTCTTAAGGTGTCTGGATTGTATTCCAGGTGCAAAAAGAAAGTCACCAGCATGCTTTCAGTGGGGGAATGACATGATCCAATTTATGCTATAATAATTATATGGACTTTCCCCAATATATTTATTCTATTTCCTATTAATGGGCACTTAAACAATTTCTAATTGCTCACTTGGTTTTTAGATTTAGAGGGCAAACCTGTCTTCAATGACAGCATATCTTTAGCTGTGGCCTGTGAGTTCACTGATGCAGGGATTGATAGCTATATCTGATCAAAGCTAAGAGCCAAAATATCTAGGTGTGAGACAGGAGCAACCTGAAACTGCAATACCCTGAAAGGAACAGGGCATATCAGGGTGAAACCCAAGCACCATACCAGGCTCCTGCTGCTTGGGACATTTTTGTGACTTCTCCTGGGGAATGTGTTCATAGCTCCCAAATCTATGTTCCCAGACTTTGTCTACATCCTAGGCTCTGATCCAACTATCTACACGGCACCTCTTCTTAAATTTCCCAGAGCCATTTCAAATTCAGCATGACCAAACCTGAGCATCTCCTTCATCACGCTCTTGTCCCTGGCTCCACACTGTCTATCCTGGTGACTCAACTCAGCATCATCCACTTTCCTCCAAAACTTGGCCCTCACCACTCAGACCCCTCCCTCTGCTTTGCCCTCCACATACAATCCAAGTCTCCTTAATGATGCTGTCCTGCTGTTCACTTCTCTCTACCTGCCCTGGCCACTGAACTCAGGCTCAGACCTCTTGCTGCCTGGATTACTGGCTGCTTAATTCTTTTCCTCACTTCTGCCCTACCCTTATGAGTCCTCCAAAAATAAGATGTCAGTTTTTCTAAGTTCAGATCTGATCATGAAACAACTCCACTAGAAATCCTTAAAAGGCTCCCTGAAGCTTTCAGAATAAAGTCTTAGCAAGACCCTTCATGATCTGGTGCCTACTTCCTTGATCCCTAACCTCTCACTGCTCCCATGTGGGGCCTCGGCCCTACCAAATGTTGGATGCATATGCTGTGTCCCACCTTCCCTCTTTTGCATGTGTGTTTCCCTGTCTGAACATCCTTCACCCCACTCTGTCCGACTGACTCCTTATCTAGATTTATATCCCCCTACTTGTCTTTCAGTGCTCAATGTGGGCACTACCTCTCCAAAAAGACTGGAGAGCACAGACTATAAAATTTCTGTAATTGTAAGCCCAGAGCCCAATATAGCACCTAACGCCCAATGGGATATTCTGCAAATGTTTCTGCATAAACAAACCACCTTCAGAGCCTATTTGTAAGTCATTTTTAAAAAAAAGAAACAATTTATTCATAGTTATCTTCCCGTCTTTTTTTGTGGAGATGGGGTCTCACTACATTGCTCAGGCTGGTCTTGAACTCCTGACATCAAGTGATCATCCCACCTTAGCATCCCAAACTGCTAGGATTACAGACATGAGCCAGCACACCAGGCCAATAGCTATCCCTTCATAAAATGAAAAGAAAAAATGGCATTATTAAGTTTGGGTTATCTTATTTCTTAAACTTCCAAATTCTGAGCCCATCAGCAAAAGCTGGAGTCATGCCACCACTAGGGAAATCCTAAAGAAACCAAAGGTGCTTCAGAAGTCAGACCAAACACAAGATTCCCAAGATGTCTTAAGCAATGGTGCATCAATGGAGTTGATTTTAATTAGTATTTTGAAGGGACAAGCATTAATTTGAACATACATGTTCTGCTGTTTTTATTGAAAGCAGCCTCAGTATATTACTGTACCTTCCTTCAATTTATGCCAAAGCTTTATTAAATTTGGTTCACTAAAGCTTTTGTCCCAGGCCTAATAAATATATATTAGGCCTGGAACAAAAGCATATATATATATATACACACACACACACACACACACACACTCTCTCTCTCTCTCTATGTTACTCGTAAAGAAATGTAAATTAAAACACAAAGTCTTTTTGATCCATCAAATTAACAAAGATTAATAGAATATCTGATCCTGGCAGTATGCAGTAAGATAGACACTCTGAAATACTACTGGTGGATGTGGACATGAACTTTTCTAGAAGGCACTTTGGCATTATATACAAAAGAATTTAAAACATTCTTGTGTTTTTCTTCCCATGAACCCACTTCTGAAAATTTATCTTTAGAAATGGTTAGATGTGCACAATCATTTAGGTAAGACAATGTTCAATGGAGCACAACTTAGAATGTTAAATGAAATAGGTACCATATATACCATGGATCCCCCACCCCCAGGGCCATGGATTGGTTAGGAATCCAGCGCACGGCAGGAGGTGAGTGGAGGGCAAGTGAGCATTACTGGCTGAGCTCTGCCTCCTCCTCCTGTCAGATCAGTCACAGCACTGGATTCTCATAGGAGTGTGAACCTTATTGTAAACTGCGCATGTGAAGGATCTAGGCTGTGTGCTCCTTATGAGAATCTAATGCCTGATGATCTGAGGTGAAATGGTTTCATCCCGAAACCACCTACCACCCACCTACCCCCCAGCCCCCCACCCGTCTGTGGAAAAATCGTCTTCCATGAAACTAGTCTGGGGTGCCAAAAAGGTTGGAGACCACTTTTAAGTGTTCCTTTACAGTCATATGCTAATATTGGAACAGAAAGCCAACCAGAAGGATACAAAATAGAATGACAGTAGTCACCTTTAAGTGATAAAATTACTGATGCATTTTACTGTCTCTTAAGTTTTCCAAATATTCTGCAATGTACACTTATTATTGTATCCAATTTTCCCTTTTTTTTTTTTTTGAGACAGGGTCTTGCTCTGTCGCCCAGGTTGTAGTACAGTGGTGTGATCATGGTCACAGGGTCTATCATGGCATGATCAACAACCTGGGCTCAAGCAATCCTCCCACCTCAGTCTCCCAAGTAGTTGGAACCACAGCTGTATGCCAGGCTAATTTTTTGATTTACTGTGGAGAAGAGGTCTCACTATGTTGCCCAGGCTGGTCTCGAACTCCTGGGCTCAAGCAATACGCCTACCTCAGCCTCCCAAAGTGCTGGGATTATAGGTATGAGCCATTGCACTTGGCCACTTTATGCACTGTTAAAATATACCAATGTCAACTTAAATACGTTCTTACAGAGCTGTACTTAGCCTTATTACTTCCTCCCTTCCAAACTCTCCTCCCTTTACCACAGCTAACAATGGTTGAAAGTGTAATGTGCATGATTCTGGGACTATTTCTACATATCAATAAAATACACACACACACACACACATATATATATACACACACACATATACATTATTTTCTAGGTGTCATTATACTATTTATATTGTTCTGCAACTTAATTTTCTGCACTGACCAATACAGCTTGTTTGCATGTTAAAATATATATATTGGCCCAAGGCCAACTAAGATAATGGAATAGAAGACTCCACTGATCATCCTCCCCACTACCCTCTTCAAGGACACCAATTTAACAACTATCTACACAGAGAAAACACCTTCATAAGAACCAAAACTTAGGTGAGCTCTCAGTACCTGGTTTTATCTTCGTATTGCTGAAAAGAGGCACTAAAGAGATAGAAAAAACAGTCTTGAATCCCTGATGCCACCCCCCACCCACCCCCGTCTCCTACAGCAGCGGCATGTTGCAGAGAGCATCTCTGGGCACTGTGGGAAAGAAAACACAGCAATTGTGACACACTGAACTCAATGCTGTCCTGTTAGAGCAGGAAAAAAAAAGACCAAACTCAGCTGATACCCATCCATGGAGGGAGCATTTAAATCAGCCCTAGTCAGAAGGGAATCACTTATCCCAGCAGTCTGAACTTGAGTTCTCACCACCAAGGCCTACAGCACTCTGTGACTCTCAGTGAACTTGAAAGGCAGTTTAGGCCATAAGGACTGTGACAATTAGGCAAGTCCTAGTGCTGAACTAGGCCCAGAGACAATGGAATGGGGGCTCACATGACATACTGAGACACCAGCTGTGGCAGCCAAGTGAGTGCTGGCAAGCACAGCTGGGGCTCCAAAAGAGACCCCTTCCTTCTGCTTGAGAAGACGAGAGGAAAAAATGGGAAGGGCTTTGTCTTGCATCTTGGATACCAGCTCAGCCACAGTGGGAGAGGGTAATGCTCACTGTTGTGAGGCCCCCGTTCCAGGCCCCACCTCCCAGACAAATTTTTTTTTTTTTGGTGGGGGGACAGACTTAATCTGTCGCCCAGGCTAGAGTGCAATGGTGCGACCTTGGCTCACTGCAACCTCCACCTCCCGGGTTCAAGTAATTCTCCTGCCTCAGCCTCCCAAGTAGCTGGGATTACAGGTGCCCACCACCACAACCAGCTAATTTTTTGTATTTTTAGTAGAGATAGGGTTTCGCCATATTGGCCAGGCTGGTCTCAAACTCCTGACCTCAGGTGATCCGCCTGCCTCGGCCTCTCAATGTGCTGGGATTACAGGTGTGAGCCATTGTGCCTGGCCCCAGACAACGTTTGTAGACATACCCTGGCGCCAAATGCAATTGGCGGCCAGGTGCAGTGGCTCACGCCTGTCATCCCAGCATTTTGGGAGGCCGAGGTGGGCAGATCACTTGAGGCCAGGAGTTTGAGACCAGCCTGGCCAGCATGGTGAAACCCCGTCTCTACTAAAAATACAAAAAATTAGTCAGGCTTGGTGGTGAGTGCCTGTAATCCCAGCTACTTGGGAGGCTGAGGCATGAGAATCGCCAGAAGGGAACCTGCTGCCTTGAAGAAAAGAACCCAGTCCTGGCAGTATTCAATACCTGCTAACTGAAGAGCCCTTGGGCCCTGAATAAACAGCTTGGATACCCAGGTACTATGCCGAGGGCCCTGAGTCAGCCTCTGAGACTTCCTGGATTCAGGTACCAGCATGGTCACAGGAAGGTAGAACACCAAGCAGGCTCCTGGGGTCCCCGACTCCAGGACTTGACTTCTGGATGGCATTTCTGGACCTGCCCTGGGTCAGAGGGGAGCCCACTGCCCTGAAGGGTGAGTCCCAGGCCAGGCAGCATTCACCACAAGCTGACTTAAGAACCCTTGGATCTTCAGGGAACATCAACAGTAGTCAGGCAGTACTCCTTGTGGCCTGGGGTGGTGGTGGCTAAAAAGAGAGGCTCCCGTCTTTGGAAAGGGAAGGTTAGAGTGGGAGGAACTGCATCTTGTGGTTTGAGTGGCAGCTCAGCCTCAGTACAACAGAATGCCAAGTAGACTTCTGAGGTTTTAGACTTTAGACCGTTTGTGAACGGTACCTCTCGACCCACCTGGGGCCTGGGGGACCTCCCTGGCCTGAAGGGAAGGACACAGGCCTGGCTGGCTTTGCCGTCGACTGACTGTAGAGCCTAAGGGCCTTGAGTAAACAGGCAGTAGCCAGGGAGTGGTTAGAGCAGACCTTGAGCGAGATCCAGCACTGTGCTGGCCTCAGGTCTTACCCGGCGCAATCATAGTGAGGGTGGCCACAGGGGTGCTTGTGTCACTCCACCCTCATCTTTAGGTGACTCAGAACAAAGACAGAGGCTATGTATCTGGGAGACAGTAAGGGAAGAGAACAAGAGTCTCTACCTGGTAATCCAGAGAATTCTTCCAGATCTTAGACCATCAAGGTGGTACCTATATGAATCTGCAAGAACCACAGCGTTACTGGGCTTTGGGTGCCCCTAAAGCAGATACAGCTTAGATCACAACACCCAAGTTCTTTCACATGTCTGGAAAGCCTTCCCAAGAAGGATGGGTACAAATAAGCCCAAACAGTGAAGACTACAATAAATATCTAACTCTTCCATGCCCAGACACAAAGAACACCTACTAGCATCAACACCATCCAGGAAAACATGACTTCACCAAATGAACTAAATAAGGAACCAGGGACCAATCCTGGAGAAACACACATATGTGACTTTTCAGGCAAAGAGTTCAAAATAGCTGTGTTGAGGAAACTCAAGGAATTCAAGATAATACAGAGAAGGAATTCAGAATTATACCAGCTAAATTTAACAAGGAGATTGAAATAATTAAAAGAAATCAAGCAGAAATTCTGGAGCCAAAAAATGCAACTGGCGGCCAGGCACAGTGGCTCACGCCTGTAATCCCAGCATTTTGGGAGACCGAGGTGGGCAGATTACTTGAGGCCAGGAGTTTGAAACCAGTCTGGCCAGCACGGTGAAACCCCGTCTCCACTAAAAATACAAAAAATTAGCCAGGCATGGTGGTATGTGCCTGTAATCCCAGCTACCTGGGAGGCTGAGGCATGAGAATCGCTTGAATCCGGTAGGCGGAGGTTGCAGTGAGCCAAGATTGCACCACTGTACTCCAGCCTGGGTGATAGAGTGAGACTCCATCTCAAAAAAAAAAAAAAAAAAAATGCAATTGGCATACTGAATACTGCACCAGAGTCCTTTAATAGCAGAATTAGTCAAGCAGAAGAAAAAATTAGTGAGCTTGAAGACAGGCTATTTGAAAATACACAGTCAGAGGAGATAACAGAAAAAAGAATACAAAATGATTAAGCATGGCTACAGGAGCTAGAAAACAGCCTCAAAAGGGAAAATCTAAGAGTTATTGGGCTTAAAGAAGAGGTAGAGAAAGAGACGGGGTAGAAACTTTATTCAAAGGGATATAACAGAGAACTTCCCAAACCTAGAGAAAGATATAAGTATCCAAGTACAAGAAGGTTACAGAACGCCAAGCAAATTTAACCCAAAAAAGACTACCTCAAGGCATTTAATAATTAAACACCAAAAGGTCACAGATAAAGAAAGGATCCTGAAAGCAGCAAGAGGCTGAGGATAGCGGTCACACCTGTAATCCCAGTACTTTGAGGGACCAAGGCAAGGGATCACTTGAGCCCAGTTTTTGTTTTATTTCCAACGTTTATTTTAGCTTCAGGGGTATGTATGCCCAATATGCAGGTTTGTTACATAGGTAAACATTTGCCATGGTGGTTTACTGCACAGTTCATCCCATCACCCAAGTATTGCCCAGAATCCACTAGCTATTCTGCCTAATTCACTCCCTCCTCCCACCCACCATCCTCCAATAGGCCCCAGTGTATGTTGTTTCCCCCTTGTGTCCATGTATTCTTATCATTTAGCTCTCACTTATAAGTGAGAACATGTGGTATGTGTTTTTCCGTTCCTGCATTACTTTGCTAAGGATAATGGCCTCCAGTTCCATCCATGTCCCTGCAAAGGACATGATCTCATTCTTTTTTGTGGCTGCATAGTATACCATGGTGTATATGTACATTTTCTTTATCCAGTCTATCACTGATGGGCACTTAACTGGATTCCATGTCTTTGTTATTGTAAGTAGTGCTGCAATGAACATACATGTGCATGTGTCTTTATAACAGAACGATTCCTATTCCTTACGGTGCATACCCAGTAATAGGATTGCTGTGTCAAATGGTATTTCTGTTTGTAGGTCTTTAAGGAATCACCACACTGTCTTCAATAATGGTTGAACTAATATACACTCCCACCAATAGTGTAAAAGCATTCCTTTTTCTCCACAACCTCACCAGCATGTTATTTTTTGAATTTTTAATAATAGCAATTCTGACTAGCGTGAGATGGTATCTCATTGTGGTTTTGATTTGCATTTCTCTAATCAGTGATGTTGAGCTTTTTTTTTATATGTTTGTTGGCTGCATGTATGTCTTCTTTTGAGAAGTGTCTGTTCATGTCCTTTGCCCGCTTTTTAAAAGAGTTATTCTTTTTTCTTGTAAATTTAAGTTTCTTATAGATGCTGGATATTAGACCTTTGTCAGATGCATAGATTACAGAAATTTTCTCCCATTCTGTAGGCTGTCTGTTTACTCTGTTGAGAGTTTCCTTTGCTGTGCAGAAGCTCTTTAGTTTAATTAGATCTCATTTGTCAATTTTTGCTTTTGTCACGACTGTTTTTGGCATCTTCATCATGAAATCTTTGCCCATGCCTATGTCCCGAATGGTATGACCAGGTTTTCTTTCAGGGTTTTATAGTTTTAAGGTTTACATTTAAGTCTTTAATCTATCTTGATTTTTGTATATGGTATAAGAAAGGAATCCAGTTTCAATTTTCTGCATACAGTTAGCCAGTTCTTCCAGTACCATTTATTTAATAGGAAATCCTTTCTCCACAGTCTGTTTTGGTCAGATTTGTTGAAGATCAGATGATTGTAGGTGTATGGTCTTATTTTTGGTTTCTCTATCTATTCCATTGGTCTTTGTGTCAGTTTTTGTACCAGTACCATGCTGTTTTGGATACTGTAGCCCTGTAGTATAGTTTGAAGTCAGGTACTGTGATGCCTCCAGCTTTGTTCTTTTTGCTTAGAATTGCCTTGGCTATTTATGCTCTTCGTTTGTTCCATAGGAATTTTAAAATACTTTTTTTCTAATTCTGTGAAGAATGTAATGGCAGTTTAATAATAAAAGCATTGAATCTATAAATTGCTTTGGGCAGTATTAGCGTTTTAAAGATACTAATTCTTCCCATCCATGAGCATGGAATGTTTTTCCATCTGTTTATGTCATCTCTGATTTCTCTGGGCAGTGGTTTGTAGTTCTCCTTGAAGAGGTCCTTACTTCCCTTGTTAGCTGTATTCTTAGGTATTTTATTCTTTTTGTGTTAATTATGAATGGAAGTTCACTCATGATTTAGCTCTTGGATCGCCCACTCTTGGTGTATAGGAATGTTGGCAATTTTTGCAAATTAATTCTGTGTCCTGAGACTTTGCTCAAGTTGTTTATCAGCTTAAGAAGCTTTTGGAGCCCAGGAGTTTGAGAACAAGCTGGATAACACAGTGAGACCCCATCTCTACAAAAAATAAATAAAACAAAAGCAGCAAGAGAAAAGAGACAAATAACATACAGTGGAGCTGCAATATATCTGGCAGCAGACTTTTCAGTGGAAAGCTTACAGGCCAGGAGAGAGGGGCATGACATATTTCAAGTGCTGAAGGCAAAAAACTTTTACCATAAAATAGTATATCCAGTGAAAATATCCTTCAAACATGAAGGAGAAACAAAGACATTCCCAGACAAACAAAAGCTGAGGCATTTCATCAACACTAGACCTTTCCTGCAAGAAATGCTAAAGGAAGTACTTCAATCAGAAAGAAAATGATATTAATCAATAATAAGTAATCACCTGAAGGTACAAAACTCACTGTTAATAGTAAATACATAGAAAAACACAGAATATTATAACACTGTAACTATGGTGTGTAAACTACCCCTACCCTAAGTAGAAGAGTAAATGATTAACCAATCAAAAATAGTAACTACAACCACTTTTCAAGGCATAGTCAGTACAATAAGATATAAACAGAAACAACAAAATGATTAAAAGTGGGGGTACAAAGTTAAGGCATAGAGTTCTTATTAGTTTTCTGTTTGCTTGTTTCCTTGCTTATGCAAATAGTGCTGTTATTGTGTTAAAATAATGGGTTATAATATTTGCAAGCCTCATGATAACCTTAAACACAAAAAATAAAAAGCAAAAAACTAAATCAGATGAAATAATCTTCACTAGAGGAAGACAAAAAGGAAGGAAAGAAGGAATAGAAGACCACAAAACAACCAGAAAACAAATAACAAAAGGGCAGGAGTAAGTCCATACTTACCAATAATAACATTGAATGTAAATGGACTAAACTCTCTAATCAAAAGACACAGACTGGCAGAATGGATGAAAAAACAAGACTGATTGATCTGTTGCCTACAAGAAACACACTTTACCTATAAAGACACACATAGGCTAAAAACAAAGGATGGAGAAAGATACTCCACGTCAATGGAAACCAAAACAAAAAAAAACAGGAGTTGCTATACTTATATCAGACACAATGGATTTCCAGAAAAAACTGCAAGAAGACACAAAGAAAGTCACTATATAATGATAATGAGGTCAATTCAGCAAGAGGATATAATAATATTAAATATATATGAACTCAACACTGGAACACATAGATATATAAAGCAAATATTATTAAAGGTAAAGAAAGAGATACACCATAGTACCATAATAGCTAGAGACTTCAACATCCCACATTCAGCACTGGGCAGATCTTCCAGACAGAAAATCAACAAAGAAACATCAGACTTAATCTGCACTATAGACCAAATGGATCTAATAGATATTTACAGAACATTTCATCCAGGAGCTATAAAATACACATTCTTTGGATCATTCTCAATAACTGTCCATATTTAGGTCACAAAACAAGTCATAAAATATTCAAAAATTCTGAAGTAATATCAAGCATATTCTTTGACCACAATGAAATAAAACTAAAAATTAGTAACAGGAATTTTGGAACGTGTACAAATACATAGAAATTAAAAAATATGCTCCTGAATGACCAGTAGGTTAAAGAAAAAATTAAGGAAATGTAAAAATTTCTTGAAACAAATGATAATGGAAACACAACATATCAAAACCTATGTGATACACTAAAAGCAGTATAAAGAGGGAATTTTATAGCTGTAAGTGAATAAATCAAAAAAGAGGAAAAGGCTGGGTACAGTGGCTCATGCCTATAATCCCAGCACTTTGGTAGGCCGAGGCGGGGGGATCACTGGAGACCAGGAGATCGAGATCAGCCTGCCAACATGGTGAAACCCCATCTCTACTAAAAAGTAATACAAAAATTAGCCAGGCATGTACCTGTAGTCCCAGCTACTTGAGAGGCTGAGGCATGAGATACGCCTGTACTCAGGAGGCGGAGGTTGCAGTGAACCAAGATCATGCCACTGCACTCCAGCCTGGGAGATACAGCAAAACTCTTGTCTCAAAAAAAAAAAAAAAAAAGGAAAAGAAAAATAAACTAACAATGAAACTCAACCAAACCCAAAATTGGTAGAAAACAAATAATAAAGAAAAACTAAAGGAAATGGAAAATTCCCATACACATACCACCTACCAAGATTGAACCAAGAAGAAATCAAAAAGCTGAATAGACCAGTAACAAGTAATGAGATTGAAGCTGTAATAACAAGTCTCCCAGTAAAGCAAAGCCTGACACTCAATGGCCTCACTGCTGAATTCTACTAAACATTTAAAGAACTAATACCAACCCTACCCCACCTATTCCAGGAAATAGAGGAGGAGGGAATACTTCCAAACTAATTCTACAAGGCCAATATTTCCGTGATACCAAAACCAGACAAAGACACATCAAAAAAGAAAACTACAGGACAATATCTATGATTAATATTAATGCAAAAATCCTCAAAAAAATACTAGCAAATTGAATTCAACAACACATTAGAAAGATTATCAAAAAAAAAAAAAGAGAGATTATCATGGCCAAGCGGGATTTATCCCTGGGATGCAAGGATGGTTCAACATAGGCAAACCAATCAGTGTAATACATTATATCAACCAAATGAAGAACAAAAAAAAATGATCATTTCAATTGTGCAGAAAAAGCATTTGATAAAATTCAACATCCCTTCGTGCTAAAAACCCTCAAAAACTGGGTATAGAAGGAGCATACCCCAACATGATAAAAAATCATATGACAGACCCATAGCTAGTATCAACTGAATGGAGAAAACTGAAAACCTTTCCTCTAATATCTGGAACATAACAAGGATATCCACTTTCACCACCATTATTTGACATAGTACTGGAATCCTAGCTAGTACAATCAAACAAGAGAATGATATAAACACCATCCAAATTTGGAAGGAAGAAATCAAATTATCCTGTTTGCAGATGATAAGATCTCAATAAAATACTGGTAACCCGAATCCAGCAGCACATCAAAAAGCTTATCCACCATGATCAAGTGGGCTTCATCCCTGGGATGCAGGGCTGGTTCAATATATGCAAATCAATAAATGTAATCCAGCATATAAACAGAACCAAAGACAAAAACCATATGATTTCTCAACAGATGCAGAAAAGGCCTTTGACAAAATTCAACAACCCTTCATGCTAAAAACTCTCAATAAATTAGGTATCAATGGGACGTATCTCTAAATAATAAGAGCTATCCATGACAAACCCATAGCCAATATCATACTGAATGGGCAAAAACTGGAAGCATTCCTTTTGAAAACTGGCACAAGACAGGGATGCCCTCTCTCCCCACTCCTATTCAATATAGTGCTGGAAGTTCTGACCAGGGCAATCAGGCAGGAGAAGGAAATAAAGGGTATTCAATTAGGAAAACAGGAAGTCAAATTGTCCCTGTTTGCAGATGACATGATTGTATATCTAGAAAACTCCATCGTCTCAACCCAAAATCTCCTTAAGCTGATAGGCAACTTCAGCGAAGTCTCAGGATACAAAATCAATGTGCAAAAATCACAAGCATTCTTATACACCAATAACAGACAGAGAGCCAAATCATGAGTGAACTCCCATTCACAATTGCTTCAAAGAGAATAAAATACCTAGGAATCCAACTTACAAGGGACATGAAGGACCTCTTCAAGGAGAACTACAAACCACTGCTCAACGAAATAAAAGAGGATACAAACAAATGGAAGAACATTCCATGCTCATGGGTAGGAAGAATCAATATCTTGAAAATGGCCATACTGCCCAAGGTAATTCATAGATTCAATGCCATCCCCATCAAGCTACCAATGACTTTCTTCACAGAACTGGAAAAAACAACTTTAAAGTTCATATGGAACCAAAAAAGAGCCCACATTGCCAAGTCAATCCTAAGCCAAAAGAACAAAGCTGGAGGCATCACGCTACCTGACTTCAAACTATACTACAAGGCTGTAACCAAAACAGCATGGTACTGGTACCAAAACAGAGATATAGACCAAGGGAACAGAACAGAGCCCTCAGAAATAATGCCGCATATCTACAACTATCTGATCTCTGACAAACTTGACAAAAACAAGAAATAGGGAAAGGAATCCCTATTTAATAAATGGTGCTGGGAAAACTGGCTAGCCATATGTAGGAAGCTGAAACTGGATCCCTTCCTTACACCTTATACAAAAATTAATTCAAGATGGATTAAAGACTTAAATGTTAGACCTAAAACCATAAAAACTCTAGAAGAAAACCTAGGCAATACCATTCAGGACATAGGCATGGGCAAGGACTTCATGTCTAAAACACCAAAACAAATGGCAACAAAAGCCAAAATTGACAAATGGGATCTAATTAAACTAAAGAGCTTCTGCACAGCAAAAGAAACTACCATCAGAGTGAACAGGCAACCTACAAAATGGGAGAAAATTTTCGCAACCTACTCATCTGACAAAGGGCTAATATCCAGAATCTACAATGAACTCAAACAAATTTACAAGAAAAAAACAAACAACCCCATCAACAAGTGGGTGAAGGATATGAACAGATACTTCTCAAAAGAAGACATTAATGCAGCCAAAAGACACATGAAAAAATGCTCATCATCACTGGCTATCAGAGAAATGCAAATCAAAACCACAATGAGATACCATCTCACACCAGTTAGAATGGCAATCATTAAAAAGTCAGGAAACAACAGGTGCTGGAGAGGATGTGGAGAAATAGGAACACTTTTACACTGTTGGTGGGACTGTAAACTAGTTCAACCATTGTGGAAGTCAGTGTGGCGATTCCTCAGGGATCTAGAACTAGAAATTTCATTTGACCCAGCCATCCCATTACTGGGTATATACCCAAAGGATTATAAAACATGCTGCTATAAAGACACATGCACATGTATGTTTATTGTGGCACTATTCACAATAGCAAAGACTTGGAACCAACCCAAATGTCCAACAATGATAGACTGGATTAAGAAAATGTGGCACATATACACCATGGAATACCATGCAGCCATAAAAAATGATGAGTTCATGTCCTTTGTAGGGACATGGATGAAGCTGGAAACCATCATTCTCAGCAAACTATCTCAAGGACAAAAAACCAAACACTTCATGTTCTCACTCTTAGGTGGGAATTGAACAATGAGAACACATGGACACATGAAGGGGAACATCACACACTGGGGCCTGTGGTGGGGTCGGGGGAGGGGGCAGGGATAGCATTAGGAGATAAACCTAATATTAAATGAAGAGTTAATGGGTGCAGCACACCAACATGGCACATTTATACACATACGTAACAAACCTGCACCTTGTGCACATGTACCCTAAAACTTAAAGTATAATAAAAAAAAATCTTATATTTGATCTCCACAAAATAAAAACTATCAGAATAAACAAATTCAGTAAAGTTGCAGGATACAAAATCAACATACAAAAATCAGTAGCATTTCTATATGCCAACAGTGAACAATGTGAAAAAGAAATTAAAAAGTAATCTCATTTACAATAGCCACATGTAAAATTAAGTACTTAGGAATTAACCAAAGAAGTGAAAGATCTCTATAAGAAAAACTATGAAACACTGATAAAAGAAATTGAAGAAGACACTAAAAAATTAAAAAATATTCCATGTTCATGGATTGGAAGAATCAATATTATTAAAATTATTAAATTAAATTATTAAATTAAAATTATTAAAAAGTCCATACTACCCAAAGAATTCTACAGATTCAATGTAAATCCTAACAAAATACCAATGACATTCTTTACAAAAATATAAAAAATCCTAAAATGTATATGAAACCACAAAAGACCCAGAATAGCCAAAGCTGTCCTAAGCAAAAAGAACAAAATTGGAAGAATGACTTTACCTGACTTCAAATTATATTACAGAGCGATAATAACCAAGACAGCATGGTACTGGCATAAAAACAGACACATAGGCCAGTGGAGCAGAAAAAAGAACTTAGAAACAAATCCACACACCTACAGTGAACTCATTTATGACAAAAGTGCCAAAAACATACACTGAGGAAAAGACAGTCTCTTTAATAAATGGTGCTGAGAAAACTGAATATCCATATGCAGAAGAATAAAACTATACCCCTATCTCTTACCATATACAAAAATCAAATCAAAATGGAGTAAATACTTAAATCTAAGACCTCAAACTATAAAAGTACTACAAGAAAATATTGGGGAGAATCTCCAGCACATTGGTCTGGGCAAAAATTCCTTGAAAAATACCCTACAACCACAGGCAGCCAAAGCAAAAATGGACAAATGGGATCACAACAAGTTAAAAGGCTTCTGCAGAGCAAAGTATAGAGTCAACAAAGGGAAGAGACAACCCCCAGAATAGAAGGAAAATATGTGCAAGCTAGCCATCTGACAAGGGATTAATAACCAGAATACATAAGGAGCTCAAATAACTCTATAGAAAAAAAATCTAATAATCCAATCAAAAATGGGCAAAGATTTGAATAGACATTTCTCAAAAGACATACAAATGGCAAACAGGCATATGAAAAGGTCAACATCACTGATCATTAGCGAGATGCAAATCAAAACTACAATGAGATATCATCTTATTCCAGTTAAAATGGTTTATATCCAAAAGACAGGCAATAACAAATGCTGGCAAGGATGTGGAGAAAAGAGAACCCTCATACACTGATGGTGGGCATGTAAATTAGTACAACCACTATGGAGAACAGTTTGGAGGTTCCTTAAAAAACTAAAAATTGATTACCATATGATTCAGAAATCCTACTGCTGGGTATATACCCAAAATAAAGGAAAGTAGTATATCAAAGAGATATCTGCCCTTCTATGTTGGCTGCAGCACTGTTTACAATAGCTAAGATCTGGAAGCAACCTAAATGTCCATCAGTAGATGAAAGAATGAAGAAAATGTAGTACATACACACAATGGAGTATCATGCAGCCATGAAAAAGAATGATATCTAGTCATTTGCAACAACACGGCTGGAACTGGAGGTCATTATGTTAAATGAAATAAGCCAGACACAGAAAGACAAACATTACATGTTCTCATTTTTGGGATTTAAAAATTTTTTTTAAAAATGAACTCATGGACATAGAGAGTAGAATGATGCTTACCAGAGGCTAGGAAGGGTAGTCGGGGGCTGGGGAGGAGGTGGGGATGGTTAATGGGTATAAAAAAAAAATAAAATGAACAAGACCTACTATATGATCTATGTGATAGCACAACAGGGTGACTACAGTCAATAATAACCCCCTACATTTTAAAATAAAGAGTTTAACTGAATTATTTTTAACTCAAAGGATAAATGCTTGAGGGGATGGATACCCCATTCTCCATGATGTGCTTATTTCACACTGCATGCCTATATCAAAACATCTCATGTACCTCATAAATATATGTACCTACTATGTACCCACAAAATTAATAAAATAATAAAAATACTTTTGTATCTACTTATCTATAAAAAAATTTATTTCAATACTTTTCAGGGAGCAGGTAGTTTTTGATTCCATGGAGAAGTTCTTTAGTGGTGATTTAGGAGATTTTGGTGTACCCATCACCTGAGCAGTGTACACTGTGCCCAATGTGTACTCTTTTATCCCAAGCCCTTTTCCCCCTTCTCCCCAAGTCCCCATAGTCCATAATATCATTCTTATGCCTTTGCATCCTCATAGCTTAGCTCCCACTTATAAGTCAGAACACATGATATTTGGTTTTCCATTCCTGAATTACTTCACTTAGAATAACGGTCTCCAACTCCATCCAAGTTGCTGCAAATGCCATTATTTTGTTTCTTTTTACAACTGAGTAGTATTCCATGGTGTATATATGCCACATTTCCTTTACCCATTCATTGGTTGATGGACATTTGGATTAGTTCCATATTTTTGCAACTGCAAATTGTGCTGCTATAAACATGAGTGTGCAAGTGTCTTTTTCACATAATGACTTCTTTTCTTTTGGGTAGATATCCAGTAGTGGGATTGCTGGATTGAATGGTAGCTCTACTTTTAGTTCTTTAAGGAATCTCCATACTGTTTTCCATATTGGTTGTACTAGTTTACATTCCCACCATCAGGGTAAAAGTGTTTCCTTTTCACCACATCCATGCCAACATCTACTATTTTTTATTTTTGAATTATGGCCATTTTTGCAGGAGTAAGGTGGTACCTCATTGTGGTTTTAATTTGCCTTTATAGTTAGTGATGCTGAGCATTTTTTCACGTTTGTTGGCCATTTGTCATACACATGTACTTCTTTGTAAATGGCTGAAGCAATACGTTATACGAAAAGATTAAATAGAGCTTGACTATTTTGCCTCTGGGAGAAAGGCTCATAATGTAACACTATCTCCAACTCTAAACGGAATTTTGATGAGGTCAGAGTTAAAGCAGACATTCTCTTTCCATGGGAGAGTAAACAGAAGGAAATAACAGGGAAGATTCATTTGGCATAAGACCATCTCTTGATCACTATTCCTTACATGGTACACATCACTCTAGATGAGCTGAATTACCAGATTCCTATGGAAATTATCAGATTCCCTAGAATTTCTCCCCCCAGCATGTTAACAGAAAATCAGGAGGTAAGCACATTTTCATTTTATAGAAATGTTGTTCTTGTTTTTGAGTTGTTTGATTAGGTCAGTAAGTCTTTCCAAGGCCCTAAATTAAAGAAATTGTCACAGTCTTTAAGGCAACATGCATGAGCAATTTCAGCAAAGTATTATTCGCATCTTGCAAATAAACTGCATTATTTTAACTACCAAAATGGTATGACTCTTTTTTTCCAAGAATGAGTAACTACCTAGAGAGACTTACCCAAGACATTAAGGCAGCATCTGGTTCTAAACCTTGGGCCTCAACATACCAAATTTAACTCTCTAAAATAAAATATTGGGAACTCCCAATTTCTCTGATAAAGCAAACAAGTGTAGTTCTACATTTTCATTCTAAACCATAAATGCTCTCTATGCATACTCTTTCTGCTGAAAATATTCATATTGTTTTCCCAGATTCTATAAAACCTCATCAGTAACCTTTACAAATAAAAAAGAAGATTAATTATTGAGCTGACTATATCAACGATTTCAGTTTCCCTGTAACGCTGGGAGACTGAAGGAATATTTCTAATATTCATGATTCATGCTCAATAGAGAGAAAGGAATGATGCCCTTCAGAGAAAGCAAGTCACTGGAATGACATCTCTTCACATGATAGCTTTTTGTATACTTATAGTATCAAGGTAAAGCAACTCACTGGTCTATTACATTTTTGCCAGCCTTTCCTGAAAGTATCAGTATGAAATCAAGTGAACAAGAGATGCCTGAAGGAATGTAGTAATCTACTGTAACTGAGATGTAAAATTCTTGAAAAAAATTAAGTAACATTCCAGGTTTAATTCAACAACCAACTACTAGTACCTTCCTATTTTTTTCTCTGTGCAAATTCTTTTTTTTTTTCAATTTCTTAGTAACAACCAGGCAAAATTTGTCAAAATCCCATTTATGTCCAAGACTAGAACTTCTCTAGTAGTTTCTCCTAAAAACCTTCCCCCGTTTCCCTCCCCAGTTCCTCCTCTAGGAAAGCAGCACAGGACTTGAGGTCTTGGAGGAAGCACCACTGGCAATAGTACCTTAGGTAACTTCTCACTTGTCAGGCTTTCTTTACTTACTGTTCCCAAAATAGGTGTGCAGACCACTGATGGGATGAAGAGATGAATTTAAGTGGCTCACAGATACACTTACTTTTACTACAAAAATGTTAGAAAAATAAACAACTAATAAAACCCATGATTTTGTAAATATTATTGGCAAGGAAGAGGGTAAGTAAAATGGTGACTCGATGTAAATTGACTAAAAGAAACAGTACTTCATAGCAAAGTGGTACAAAGCCATACCCAATTCATATAGGGCTATGTAACTGGAGACATTTAGGAAGCTTCTGATGCTACCATTATCTTTGCTCCTCTGTGCCAACCTCATACAGTATCCTCAGTGACACCTACACCTTCTATTGCTTCCTCTCAGCTAGATATTTCTATCAGTAGCTAACCCTACCTACATTTTTCTAATCTTTAAACAAATACACTAACGAAGACCCTCTCTCACTTCCCTTTCAGCTACAGCTCTTTCTCTTTCTACTCCCTGAATTTAGACAGTTAGCTACCACTGCCGGCTGGCTGCATATTCACACCTCCCTCTCATTTCTCAATACACTCAGCTCAGGTTCCCTATCCCCGCCCCCCAACCCCAGTATACAACCTACTGATGATAAACCTAAGGATAACTTCAATCATTATCCCACTTTATCTTTCAGAAGCATTCAACAGAGTTAACCACCAAATTAACTGCCATTTGCCAAGCTATTACGGTTTTCCTTCCTCTTCCCTGGTATGTTTTACTTTGTTTTGTTCTTTTTAGTTTTCTCCACTGGCTCATTTTCCCTAATAAGACTATGAATGCTAGCATTCCTCATGGTCATTCCTCAGGCTCACTGCCCTTCTCATTCCAGTCTCCCTAAGTAACCTCATCCACTCACCCAGCTTCAACTATTGTCCATATGCTGATGATTCCCAAATCCATGTCTCCAGTTCAGGTCTCCTCTCTGAGCTTCTGATTTGTTTATTTAGCCAACTTGGACGTTCTATAGGAATCTCAATGACAACACAACCCAAATGGAACTTATCCACTCTCCCTATGTTTCTATCGTAGATGAAGGAAGAGCATCTACCTCGCTGCCCAAGCCACAGACAATATTCCTTGACTTCTGTCCTGAAATGTGCTCACCCAATCAGTTTCCAAGTCTGCCTCCCCAGTATACAGGTAGACTTCTCACCACCTTACCATCATGTCAATAGGGGCCACTGCCATCCCTTGCCTAATCAACTATCACTGGCCTCAGAACTGGCCCCATCACCACTATCATCTTCATAATACATGAATTTAGCCTCTACATCATCTTACGATCAGGCCCCCAACAGCCTAGCATGTATAACAAGGCCCCACACAGCTGGTTCCCTAGTGCTGTCTCTCAGATTGCATCCTAGCCACATGGAGAACATTCCAGTTCTTCAAAATCTCCAATATTTTCTTGCCTTTGGACCTCTACACATACCTGAGACACTCTCTTCCCCCAATCCTGGGCTCACAGCCACTCCTGTGTTAGGTCTCAGCTTAGACACCACTGTGGACTTCCCTATCACATCACCCACTACCCTTCATTGTAACTCTGTTTAATGTCTGCCCTCCTCTTTCCACTGCACATTCCACGAGCACAGTGACTACACGTGCCTCACTCATCACTGCATTTCCAAGAACTGGCATCATTCTTGGCACAGTGGTTGATACTCAATAAACATTTACTGAACGAGAAATGAATAAACAGCTATTCAGCCACCAAAAGAAAATGAGGTATCTGTAGGCTCTTAAAACAAAACTGTCTGAAACAGTAAAAATACCAACTTCACCTGAGTATAGCAAATATGATTTTGTTTTGCAACTACCTAAAGAACGCTGTACAAATGGCTGTGAGACTCTACCAGTTTTCAGCATCAAGCCAAGACACACTTTGTGTCTGAGCTAACTGAATGGTTTCCTGTCTTACAAACAAACTGTCACCCAACAGTTACCTTGCTAACTTCCTTCAAGGCTCTTTTGCAGACTTCATACTTCGGAGAGTCCTTAGGTGTTTTTTGACAGATAGTCTGTAATGAAATAAAAGTGAACAAAATTTATTGATCTATTTTATTAAGTAAAATAAAACCAATGTCCAGCCATATCCTTTTACTCATAGCAAACAATGCCAAACACGATATTACGGATGAGTATGAGGATAATATTAAAACCCAATTTAAAAACCAGGAAATAATCTTTAAACACAGGATCCAAGTCCATCCAGGGAATGGTTAAGAAAGATAGAATTCAGAGGTGGGTAACCCTGGTTTCAAATCCCAGGTCTGCCCTTACTAGTTATCAAATCTTGAGCAAGTCACTAACTCTATCTTTATAAGCCTCTCTTTCCTCATCTGTAAAACTGGGGTGATGCCAGCTACATCACAAGGTTGTTAGAAGTGTTAATGATAATTTATGTAAAGTTCTTTATTAGTGCCTGGCATAGGGTATGCCCTCAATAAATAAGAGTTACTTTAATTATCACCATTATAATCATTATTATTAGAGGCAATTATATTTATAGATGATACATTTTGAATAAAAAGAACAGCCAGGCACAGTGGCTCATGTCTGTAATCCCAGCACTTTGGAAAGCCAAGGCAGGCAGAATACTTGAGTCCAGGAGCCAGGGCAATATGGAAAAACCCCATCTCTACAAAAATACTAAAAGAAAATTAGCCAGGCATGGTGGTGTGCACCTGTGGTCCCAGCTACTCAGGAGGCTAAGGTGGGAGGGTCACTTGAGCCTGGGAGGTGGAGGTTGCAGCGAGCCGAGATCGCACCATTGCACTCCTGGGTGACAGCATCTCAAAGAAAAAACAGTCAAAAAAAAACCCAAAAAAACCAGCAAAGGAAAAAAAGCCTGCTAGGTTTTCTGTTGATATATTTATACTGAGAAATTTCATTTGTGATAGGAAAATCAGGTCAAACAGGGTCAATTCACGGTAAATTTAATTACATATAACTTTAAAGCTATACACACACATTCAAAGCCCAGGGAACCACTTTAATTACTGAAAGTGTTTATTTTAATGAACAAGCTTAACTGAATTTCCAAATGAGGTAAAATTGAAGAGACACTATTTTAAATACATTTACATTCTGCCTAAATGGCCAGATTTCCACACATGAGAAACAGATTAGAGCAACAGGCATCAGGCAGAGGTAGAAAGTAGTTGGCTACTAGCAAGTCACTGGTCCCTTAAATGTACAGAAGCACCAAGCCAAGCCATCTGAAAGTCAGGCATCAAGATTTTTAACTATCTGCTATGTGAGAAACACAGAGTGCACCATCTGTGGAGGTTCTTATATTTTTTGACTATGACTCACTGTAAGAAATACTTTTACACTGCAACCAGCACACATGCACACATAAATGAACCAGGATTTTATGAAACAATATTTAACCACTTTATGAGCAACGTACATATGCTCATAATTCAAAAATCAGTTTTATGGCCCACTAATGGGTATGAAAGCAGCATGAAAAATACTGGTTTATGTCCCTGAGAGCAGGCATCCTTAGCTGGATTCCATATATTGATATTTTATGTAAAATTTTGTGCATACACATATTCTCTGGGAAGAAAAGCTATAGCTTTACTCAGAATCTCAAGGGGGGGTCTGTGGCTTAAAAAAAGTTTAAAGCCTACTGAGCAATCATGGCATGAATCTCCAACACTGTATAACATAATGTGTTAGATTTTAGAGTCCCATTCCATACAAGTAATTTTCTCAAATTTAAAGAGGATATAAAAGGCTTGGCCATCACAGCATATATAAAATCTGGAAAACATGTTTAAAATGCATTTTATTTATTTTTGTTCTTTTATTTCAATTCTCAAAGAGGAATAAAATGCATTTTCAGAAGAAGAAAACCCTGAAAATTCAAAAGTCTAATATTACAAGAAATGTTGTATTTACAAGGCATTCACTTCTTGCTTAAAAAAATAGTCATGTTTGAAATAATACTTCCTTATATGGACCAAAGTTTCCTTCTTAAGCAAAAATTCGATTCTGATAACTTAGCCACATTCTATCTTTAAACATGATAAATACTGATCTCAAAAAAAAATCAGAAAGTGAAATGTTCAAAACTGCAAGCTTCCCAATATGTACACAGGGGGGAAGTTCCTGAATTACAGGTGATGGGTGGAGAAGGTGTAAAGGCAGTAGATCGAAGTAAACTTGAGGAGCACAAGGTGCTATGAATCCTGAAATACCTGACAAAACGTCTCCAAAACTGCAGCAGTCAGCTAAATGCTCATGATTCCATGCTTTTACACATTTCAAAATTTCAGCATTTTTAAAGAATGTATTTTAGAATTTACAATGGGATACAGAATGTGAAATTTACTTTGTAACCTTAATCATAATTTTTAATATATATTTTACTTTGTTTTGATTAGTCAAAATCAGGTATGTAAAAAGTTGACCTTATATCAACATTATGATCCAATTTTAAAGTAGGAAAATCATAACAAAATATTTTCTAATTAGATCAAAAAGACACTCTGTGATCCACTGCTAGAATGGCACCTGTGTCGAGCCACCCCACTTTTCTCTTTTGCTGCCCCAGCAGCTCCAGTGCAGCCAGTGGCAGGCTCTCCTGCCCATAGCCTACCTGTCTTTCCAGCTGCACGTACTACTAGGCAGACTCTACTCACTTTTCCCAGTCATGTCTTGCCGTGATTCAAAGTCAAAAACACTTGCTTTCCTCATGAATGCTGCCTAACACAAGAAGGAAGCTGGGCTTTCCTCACTCACTTCGCACAATGCATAATACAGGCAGTACTATGCCTTGTCATGCTGAAGAGACTCTCATTCCTGTATGAAATGGAAGGCCCAGGGCACCTTGGAACATTATAGATGAAGGGATCTCAGTGATCAGTCTGAGGAATCTTAGGCCCAAAGAGACTGAGTTGCTCAAGGTCACATGCCTAATGGCTTAGCTAGAATTGGAATCCAGGCCTCCTGACATAAAGAAGCCACAACTCTTCCTATTTCAAAAAATGCTGAGTAAGTGGGTGATGAGATCCAATTTCTTCAGAATGACCATAGAAGCCTAAATGAAAGATAATTTCCAGAGATATCAGATACAGGTGAGACTTTCTGAACAAACAACACCTTCTCACTTAATTGGGGGATTTTTAGACCTTTAAATATGCATCAATTTAAGTGGAATAATAATAATTTTCTAAATCAGATTTAGAGAAGCACAGCTATCCACAGAGGAAAAAGCCACCGTCATGTCTTACATCCATCAGCAGGGGAAGGCGGGTCACCCTCTGCATGGGGAGAATGAGAAAAGAGATCATGGGTAAGTTCCTACAGTCTTCATGGGACTCAATCCTTGACAATACTTCCTTAAAGGATGGATTGGTAGCTCTGAGGGAAAACAAAGAAAAGAGAAACTTCAAAATATTTCCTCCTCAAATTAAGCAGCAAGTAAAAATGTATTACAAAATACTGTGATAAATCCATATAGCATCAACTATTTTAAACTGTATGAAAATATCATAAGCACATAATTACACTGGCAAATACGAATGGCTTGTCTGCCTTTTATATTCAAGGCTGAATATAATAAGATGTGGATTTCACATAACAGTATTAACAATAAGGCAAAACATGTAGGAGCTAGAAATTTATACAAGTGGAAGGTAAGCAAATGAAGAAGCTGTGGTATCATAATGGTGAATATATGGGTCATAAATCAGTATACAGACTAGGTCTTTTATATCCGATCATCTATAAACATATATCATTAATAAGATCATAAATAATATGTTTTAAGCCACTTCTCCAGCCCTAGACAATGGCATAAGAAATTAACAGTTAGACTGGACTTCAGAGGCTTTAGGCCACAAAGATCCTCTTTCTGAGACAGAAAACCTTTTCATCACATCAGTCGAAATATTCCTCTTTTTCTCCTGTTAATGCAAGAAAAGTATTAATGCTGCTATAACATTTTAATGAAACTTAGCGAGATACTGTGACATACATTCTTTCATGTGGAACCACCTACGTAACTTTTAAGGAAGGCCAGATAGGGATTCCAGTAAGAAAATGGAATGCAGAAAGGTCCCTACCTCACCAAGTAAATATGACTTAGTAACTGCCAAAGACAGAAGTCAAACCCAGGTTTGTTTGTTTGTTTGTTTGTTTTGAGATGGAGTCTTGCTCTATCACCTAGGCTGGAGTGCAATGGCACAATCTCGGCTCACTGCAGCCTCTGCCTCCCAGGTTCAAGCAATTCTATGCCTCAGCCTCACAAGTAACTGGGATTACAGGTGTGTGCCATGACGCCCAGCTAATTTTTGTATCTTTAGTAGAGAAAAGGTTTCATGTTGGCCAGGGTAGTCTCGAACTCCTGGCCTCAAGTAATCCACCTGCCTCGGCCTCCCAAAGTGGTGGGATTACAGGCGTGAGCCACTGTGCCTGGCCTCAAACCCAAGTTTTCTAATGTTAAATCTGACACTCTTGTCCCCCCATTTCTCACTCTCTTACCTCACTTCATCCCATGAGGAGCTCTGTAGAGTTCCACTGCCACTTTCCAAGGCAAGGAGGGTAGGAGGTAGATGGATATTGTACTCCCATGAAGGGAGAAGGAAGCAGGATAGTGACAATAGCAGTCATTTTTTTTAAAAAAAATGTTATTTTGAAAATTAAATAATCTTGTTCAAGGCTGCTACTAAAAGCAGGGAGGGGGAGAATGCCAGAATAGCAAATGAAAAGAAATTATACAGAAACAATTCATTTCCATTTTCTCTAATTGAGAAGTTTTAAGTTTCCTTTTACTGATAGCTTTGACAAGATTTTTAGAAAGTTAAAAAAAAAAAACAAAAACCTCTAAATTAGTTGTATATTTAAATAACTCAGGTCCCAGTCCCCTCCCTCACCTTCCAAAGGTTCTGATTAAATAGTCTGGGATGGACTCTGGACAGTGTACATTTGCTCATTTTCAGGCCCCAAGGCATTTCTAACATGCAGCTAGAATTGAAAGCCACTGTTCTAACCTTAAATTCACATAAACTGCGGGCTGGGCGCAGTGGCTTACGCGTGTAATCCCAGCACTTTGGGAGGCAGAGACAGGTGGATCACGAGGTCAGGAGATCAAGACCATCCTGGCTAATACGGTGAAACCCAGTCTCTACTAAAAATACAAAAAATTAACTGGGTGTGGTGGCATGCACTTGTAGTCCCAGCTACACGGGAGGCTGAGGCAGGAGAATCGCTTGAACCTGGGATGCAGAAGTTGCAGTGACCCAAGATTGCGCCACTGCACTCCAGCCTGGGTGACAGAGTGAGACTCCATCTCAAAAAAAAAAAAAAAAAAAAATCACATCAACTGCAACAAATCCCCTGAAAACACTACTAATTGCCACGTGAAAGTGCTGATGATGTTATCATTAAGCTAATTTAGATAAAACCTTTAAGAGTCACATGATGTATAGCAGTACCTAGTGACATTTTTTAAATCCTGCAAAACAAAATGAAACCCAAATTTATCTCTAATTCAAGGCTTTGTTTTCAGACATGAACTTGCATTCTCTAACAGTTACAGAGAACCTCTGTTCCTATAGCAGCGGTTCCCACCAGGGCGTGGTGGAGTGAGGAAGTGATGGGTGTGGTTTTACCCTCAGGGGACCTTCTGCAATGTCTGGGGAGATTTTTGGCATCTAGCAGATGGAAGCCAGGGATGCCCTTAAGCATCTTAAAATGCATAGGACAGCCCACCACAAAGACTTATCCAGTCCAAAATGTCAATTGTGCGAACAAACCCTGCTTTATACTAAAAATCTCATTGGGGTTAGCAGCTGTGTGTTTTCCACCCTGGCTATATGAAAATGTCATGAAGATGTGGAGGAAAAAGGGGGCCATCATCAGCCCTTCTCATCAGCTTAGAGGCTTTGACTATTTCTCCAAGCAGCCATAAGTTAGTCATCCTCAACCCCTACTCCTCCATAGGGGTCTCACATATTGCACAGAAGTTGACCGAAGCTCCATGCCGTGGTCATAAATGCCACAACTCACAGGAGGGGGTGAGAACGATAACAGCCATTAAGCTCCCAAACTGGGTTTACAGCAGTGCACAACTGTGCTGTAAAACAGCTACTTGTGATAAACAGGACTCTTTAAAATACATATAGGCATTACTGAACAATTGGTGACTCTTTTAAGGACACAGATGGCATATGCATCACATCAAAACTCTCAGTAACCTAAAAAGGACAAAAAGAAAAGATGTGGCAGGAAATCTAATGCTTAACTCTTTTGCTGCATAACTGAAATCTTTAAGAACATTACTTTTTTCTACTGCTTTCCTTCAGAACTTCCCTCCTCTCTTCAACTCTAACTACCCAAGTGGGGGGAATAATCAGCAATTTTTATGAACAATTTATTATCGTTGTCAATTGAATGGAGGGAGATCAGAATAGTAGAGAAAACTCTGAATCTTAGCTTTTAGCTCAATCAACTCAAGAATCCCCTCTAAGCCTCAGGAAAACCACTTAATTGCCAGTAAAAAGCTTAGAAAACTGCGGGTTTAGAGTGAGGACCACCTCTGTTTCCTGCAACAATTAAAAACAACGAAACACTAAACAAGGACATCAATAACAAGCTATAATTTCGTAAGAGAGAAAATTCTCTACACACTAGATTTTTCTACTTAAACACCCTCACCCTAAAAGTAATGCTCTTAAACATTTCTCCTCTGGGAAATAGCCTATCAGGAGGCATTTCTAAATATAATTCAAAAGATCAATTAATTTCAGTCAATGTAGCCTAATTAAAACTAGGTTAGATGATTAAAACTGTAGCATTCGACATTGCTTACAACAATTTTTGTAGTGTTCGTTGTTGGTAGACTTCATTTGTGCAGTATTTCACATATGGGTCAAATGTGGATGCTGTGTGTTTTTCCACAATGTCACTTATGTCATCTATGAAGATATTATTCTGATGTCTTGCTTCCAACTCTATAAAGAACCTGAAAAACCAAAGGGAAAAAAAAATTAACACTTCTTTCATACACTCTAACAGATAACAGATTAGCCTCATGTAATGTTATTACACGGGGTTTGAAAATTCAACAGTACACAGTACCAACTAAAAAATATTTTTAAAATCTATAAAAATTTTATCTAAGTTTAAATCTATCATATTAACACCTCCTTGAGGATGAGCATTGTGGCTCACGCCTATAATCTCAGCACTTTGGGAGGCTGAGGCAGGAAGATCACTTGAGGCCAGGAGTTCAAGACAAGACAAAACCAAAAAAAAAAAAAAAAAAATCAAGTTATTGCTTCAAGTGTTTGGCTTCAAACATTGATCTGCTCTGCCTTCAGGTACTTTAGACTAAACATATTTCATTATTTTTCAAGAATTCTTTATGGGAAGGGGAGTGAATGCTTATATATTTTATTGTATGGAAAAATACATGAGCAAAACACCTAAATAAATGCTTAAAAAATAAGTCTGAGGCCAGGAGGTGTGGTGGCTCACATGTGTAATCCCAGCACTCTGGGAGGCCGAAGCGGGTGGATTATGAGTTGAAGGGATCGAGACCATCCTGGCCAACATGGTGAAACGCCGTCTCTCCTAAAAATACAAAAATTAGACAGGTGTGGTGGCACGCAGCTGTAGTCCCATCTACTCAGGAGGCTGAGGCAAGAGAATCGCTTGAACCCAGGAGGCGGAGGTTGCAGTGAGCCGAGATCACGCCACTGGACTCCAGCCTGGCGACAGAGACTCCGTCTCAAAAAAAAAAAAAAAAAAAAAAAAAAAAGTCTGAAATAAATCTAACAGTATATGTTTTTTTCTCAAAATAAAAACAATCACATTATTTTAAATCTGATAATATACATGATATTTAAATCCCTCCCTCCCTTTCCCTCTTTCTTTCTTTCTTCTGAGAAAGGGCCTCACTCTGTCACCCAGGCTGGAGTGCACTGGCATTATCTCACCTCACTGCAACTTCTGCCTCCCGGGATCAAGTGATTCTCCTGCCTCAGCCTCCTGAGTAGCTGGGATTACAGGCATGTGCCACCATGCCTGGCTAATTTTTATGTTTTTTAGTAGAGACGGGGTTTCACCATATCGGCCAGGCTGGTCTCTAACTCCTGACCTCAACTGATCTACCCACCTTGGCTTCCCGAAGTGTTGGGATTACAGGTGTGAGCCACTGCACCCGGCCAGGGTTACCAGATTTAGTGTATAAATAGATAGCAATTTAGGGTCACCTAAATAGATATACACATACAAGTGTATATATCTATAATACACATATGATATATATCATTATATATGTCATATAGATAGCAATTGTTTATCCATTCATCTGCTGATGGAGACTTGAGTAGTTTCCAGTTTTTGGCTACCTGGAATAATGCTGCTATGAACATCTGCATACGAATATCTATTCTTGTGTCTGTTTTCAAGTCTCTGGGGTATATTCCTATCAGTGGAATTTTAACCACACTGACTGTACAATAGTATGTGTATAGGGGTGTGTGTGTGTGTGTGTGTGTGTGTGTGTCTAAGTGTGTGTAGAGAAACGGTAGCATAATACTTGAACCAAAACAGAAGAAGCTGAATTATATGCCAAGGAGAGGTTAGCTCATTAAACAAAATTTAGTAAGAAATGATCCTTTCCCTCCCAACACTCACAGTGGAGCGGTTGATGGGAGGCATGCAGCCAATTACAATACAGGATCTATAACACAGGTGTGGTAATAATAAGTATTTGGTCTTCATCCCTGGTCCTTGGAACACAGCTCCTTGAAATACCTGGAATCTCCAGTGACAGGAGTGTCTTTTGTATGCCAGTGAGATGACTGGTAGCTGGGGACCCTTAGATAGCTTCAGCATGGCTCTCAGCATGCCAGAAAGACCAAGGCATGATTGCAGAGCTGGAACTTTCAGCCATGCCTGCCTATCTCCAGTCATAAGAAGAGAAGAGTTTGAGTTCAATTGCCAAGGAACAATGATTTAATCAATAGTGCCTATGTAATGGAGCCTCCACAATAACCCTTAACTGATGGGGTTAGGGAGGGTCGATGAACACCTTGAGGTGCTGGGAGAGTAGCAGGCCCTGAGAGGGACTAGGTGGTCTGCAGTACCTGCACCCCCTCCAGCCTTGCCCTGTAACAATCCTTGTATTTGGCTGTTCTTGAGTCGTACCCTATATAATAAAGCAGAAATTGTAGAGTACCTTCCTGAGTTCTGTGAGCCATTTTAGCAAATCATCAGGGCCTGAAATAGGGGTGGATTGTGGAAATCCCCCCACAACTTTGTAGCCAAGTAGAAGAGAAGTGTGGGTAACCTGGGGACCCAATACTTGCATCTGCCGTCTTAAATGAGGGCAGTATTGTGGGCTGAAACCTTAAACCTGTGGAGTGTGATGCAAACTCAGGGTGGTTAATGTAGGAACTTAAATTGTAGGACCGGAACTGTAGGACACACAATTGGTGTCTCAAGGGTTAGAGAGTCGGTTGGTATAAAAAAAAAATTCACACATTTGGTGTCAGAAGTATGGTGAGTAAAAAACCAAAGAGGCCTACAAAGAAAACTCCAGAGGGCAGAGTGACCACTCTTGTGGTAAACACAGGTAAGGACACGTGTAAGCTGGATTATCAGTGCGAAGGATGACATGACGGGAGCAGGGGAGCAAAGCACAATGGGCAGTGGAAGCAACGTGGGTCTGGTTGGGGAAACTGGGAAGTTCAGTGGAGCTGAGGTACAGACTCCACTCCAGGAGGAACAAGGGCACAGAAAGAAGACTGCAGAGCAGGGCTGAGCTTGATTGCAAAGGTTATACTGCATGCTGGGAAGTTTACAATTAATCTGTAGACAATAAGAAACCACTGGAGGTGTGGAAGCCAATAAATCACTCAATCCGAGAAAACTGGAGCAGAGCAAGGATGGATTACTAGTAGGGAGGAACAGATGGCAAGCAGGCCGGTTAGGTGGCTAATCTGGGCAAGCTGACAATAAAGCCTGGTAGTGGGAAATCAAGAGGACCCAGCATAGGGTAACAATCTGGAGATAAAATTAATAGACTCAAGAAACGCATTAGATGGGAAGTCAAGGAAGATGCTGAGATTTCTGGTCAAGGTTTCCACCCGGTCAATAAAGTGGGTTCTTAAACCATTAATGAAGACAGAGATTTAGGAACAGGGAGAAGCAGCAGGAAGAGCTCCATTTAATTTTGCCTTGGAGATGTCTAATGGACAGCTAAAAATACACATCTGTGAAAATTCAGAGGAACTGGAATTCTAGGTACTATATAGTTAAGACTATTTGATTTCTAGCTGTTTTTCATAGAAATGTGAAATATTTGTCATTTAACTCCAACTGTTTTGTAATGCAAATGTAAAGAAAATTGTTTAAAGAAAATTGAAAGGCCGGGCACGGTGGCTCACGCCTGTAATCCCAGCACTTTGGGAGGCCGAGGTAGGTGGATCACAAGGTCAGGAGATCGAGACCATCCTGGCTAACACAGTGAAACCTCATCTCTACTTAAAATACAAAAAATTAGCCGGGGGTGGTGGCAGACGCCTGTAGTCCCAGCTACTCGGGAGGCTGCGGCAGGAGAATGGCGTGAACCCAGGAGGTGGAGCTTGCAGTGAGCCGAGATTGCGCCACTGCACTCTAGCCTGGGCGACAGAGCGAGACTCCGTCTCAAAAAAAAAAAAAGAAAGAAAATTGAAAAAAGAAGAAACCATAAGGCCGTTATAATTCTAGGATATAAATATCTTGAGGCAAGTAGCTCTTACAATTTGTCTTTAGCTTACACTGTTACCAGCCTGAAGGAATGCAACTATATAACCAAAAACAACAGTAACTTGGCTTTTCCCAATGAAAAGGAAAATTTCATTTATCACTGTGAAAGGTTTGCCAAAGTACGATATTAAAAATAAGGTACTAATTAAATTTCTGTTTATGCTACTTACTTCAATATAAACCAAACCACCCACCTTTTATTTTTACATTGACATAATTAAGACATAATTTAAAGCTTTCTATGTTAAATGATCTATTAGTTATTTTGGAAAATTTGCATACTTTACTAAGTGAGTTAGCTACAAAAAGATCAAGAAAGTATTTCTAAAAAATGAGGTATGATTTCGGGAACCAAGAATGCCGGTGAATCAAATCAAATCTGAAGCAAAAGTAAAAGTATTCTGGTTCCCTGGATGAAACTTGAATGAAATAATTTGGCTTACGAGGAGGACAACTTTTTAATGGAAATACGTATTTAAGTTCTATGAATTTTTTTCGGGGATAATACTTCCACTTATTTCCTCTTTGTAGTATTACCAAGATGTTCATGTTTTATAACCAATCATGTTACACAACCTTTATCTTTTTTTTCCCTGTAAAGCATTTCCAATCTCACCACTAAAGAGAAACCTTCTGTGGACCAGGAAAAGCTGCCTAGAAACATTCCCTCCTAACCAGAAACACAAGTTAGCCCTGTTTGGCTGTTAACTCACCATCACAAGCAAAATCACACCCATACTTCAAATGAGTGCTTTAAATGATTGTAGTCTGCCAAGGTGAGCTCCTCAGCTGTGCAGATAATGGTCCTACCAAACATATAAGGTCCACCTCCCAGGAGGTTCAAGATGATTCAGCTAAAACCCATGTTTGAAAAAAGAGCCTGATGTGGAGCTTGCTTATGGTCTAGTAACCTTTCTTCTAACGTTTTTTAAAACTGCAGGGATTTTTTTTAGGTCTTTTGTGGTTGCTTTATTATGTGATGATCTTAAATGTGGCACTACATTTTTGAGGAAAAAACAAAACCAACAGCAAGCCTGCTTTATGAGATGGTCATTATACCCATTTTATAGATAAGAAAACCAAGGCAAAGAGTGCTTAAGTCACAACTTCATTTGAAACCAGAGCCAGACCCTGTGCTTGAACCAAAACACCTGCTGCCTCAGCTCTCAGCGGTGAGCTGATCTTGCCCACCTGTTACTACTGGCCAACCCTCAACTAAGACATCCAGCAAGAAGAGTAGCAGCTGGAACTGCAAAGAAAAAGATCATTTTCCAAGATTAATGTTGAATGGTCTCAGCAAATAAATTACACAAATCAACGTAGTGCAGATGTTCACAGTAAGATCCACGCCATGACAAAATGTGCAGACAACAGAAGGGTCAGCAACCATATCAGGTTCAGCCTCCAAGAAAGATAATCAGGAAAATCACAGCCAGCAATGTGCTCTGGTCCTGGTTGACACAGTGTGATCAAATATTGGTTTACAGGTGCCCTGTGAAGCCCTCTGGGGGTTATTCATTTTGGCCCTCCTATTCTCGCTCCCCTTTTTCCCTCATGAATCCCACTCATCCTTCATGCATCAGATTAAATTTCATCTATTCCAGGAAGCTTTCCCTGAACCTGCTGGGATAGGCTAAGTTCTCTTGTTCTATGACTTCATAAATCCCCATATATTTTCTTCAGTGTACCTACTATGATGGCAATTAATTCTTTTATAATTTTTGTTTACTTTTGTCTCTCTTAGCAAGGTTTAGAGGATGGGGCCATGTCTGTTGTGTTCACTACTATATTTATATATATATATAGTGTGTGTGTATATATATATTGTGTGTGTATATATACACACACACACACCCAACCACCCACCCACCCAGACTTGGCCATAGTACCTGGAATATAGGAGACAGTCAAATATTTGATCAGTGAATACATAAACAAATGAAATTTATTGTTTTAAATAAAAAATGATAAAGGTGAAACATGTAAAAGAATTTCGTTCTATTATTATTTTACTAAGAAAGTAATGCCCACAAATTGGGTCAGTCTCTACCTTGCTTTTATCACTGATAAGTCAACATATATTTAATTGACCACAAGTTGGCTTCCCAGAACTGTGCTAGGTACAGGAAGGGCCACCAATGAAGACACAAACTCCCAGCACAAGTCTTTACAATTCTTCAATTAGGATTACTAAAGAGAGACCCAGTCCAATCTGAGTTTCTTCAATGCCAGCTGCATTTTCTGAAAAACCTGCCAGACCAGCCCCTCCCCTATCCAATTCAGAAGGATGACAGAGAGACTAAGCAGCGCAGCACTCAGCACTCTAGCTCTGGAAACACAGAAAAAAAGGAGCTCTGGTTATAATCAATGCCGCTGTCCGGTGCCCTCCTCAGAATGGCATCCTTTCAAGGTACTTTTTCTTCATTAATATCCATCTGCCTAAAGCAAACTGAAATCATTCTTGGACGTCTCCCTCACTTAAATGAGCTGTCAATCTAAATGGCTGCAGTATCCTACCAGAGAAGGTCATATTCACTTAGGCTGGAGACTTGTAACATACCAGGCAGATTTCACATGTCTAAGTTGTTGTTATATAATAAAATATCTTCCCTAAACAAAGAAATATTCCAGATAAGTGGCAGCGAAGTATGTGCTGCTGGAAATACTTTCCTAATACAGAACATTCTGTACTCTACCAAAATGAATTTATATTCTGCTGCCGGTAAGTAAGATTTGGGGCTGCTTTATTTGGAATTTTTTTGGTGGTCACATTGACACTGAAGGTTGAAGTCAGTTTCTTTTGACATACTGGATCAGGGAGAATAAAAGCATGGCAAGCGCACCGCCACTAACCCATGGCAGGCATCAGTAACTGTCTGGCACTCTGCCTACATGCAGAGTTTGCACTCCAGGCAGCCATTAACAATACATCAAAATCAGTGCTGAGGAAGATGAAGCTCATCGATGAATCCTTCACCAGAGACTAACAGTGATAGGAAATGTGTTGATTCGACACAAATATAGGACAGTTGCTTCTCAATCAGAAAATATCCTACCTACATCCTGATCTGGTAAAGGTCTCAAGAGACTTCCTTTTCAGCAGACTATATGTCTTCTCATATTCTATTTTAGCCTTTTCTTCTGAAATTTTATCTCTGGATTGATAATAAGAGGATAAGAAATTAAAAGTGGTTTGGGATGTGAGGGGAAAAAAGAGTTCTAAACAAAAATGCTCTGGTAGTTCTCATTCCCATTCTGATAGCTACTGTTTTAGTAGGTACTTACCAATGACAAAATTAGAGGAGGATGCAGCACAGACCTTTTTAAGTCCTTTGTGTTGGTACCTCCCCAGTGAGTTACATGTGGGAGAGAAATGAACCAGGGAAAACTAACAGTTCTCAGCAACTGAGAAGTGGTGGAACATTTCTTTACATGCAAACACTGTCCTTGGCCTTAGCGTAATCATTGTGAGGAAGAAGTCATGTCACAATTAAGAAGCCCTGAGCAAGGAACAGACACACTTGGCAAAAACACAAAGGGCGCCATGTTTATTTTTAGAGCCCCCTGTGGCAGGCTAAATGATGGCCATGTACATGTCCATTATTAATGTCCATCATCTCAAAAATGTCCATGTCCTGTGAATATGTTATCTTACATGGTAAAAGTGATTTTATAGAAGTAATTAATGATACTGAGATGGGAAAATCATCCTGGATTATCCAGGTGGGCTTAAAGTAATCACAGAGGTCCTTATAAGAGAGGGAGGCAGGAGGATAAGAGTCAGAAGAGAAGTAGAAATCAGAGAAGATGGTACACAGTAGGCTTTGAAGACAGAAAAATTCATAAGCCACGATACAAAAGTGACTTCTAGAAGCTGAAAAAGGCAAGAAAACGGATTCTCCCCTACAGCCTCCAGAAGGAAACAGCCTAGTGACACCATGACTTTAGCCCAGTGAAATTGATTTCAGACTTCCCACCTTCAGAATTGAAAAAGAATAAATTTGTGTTGTTTTAAACCACTAAGTTTGTTGTAATTTGTTATAGCAGCAATAGAAAACTAATACATCCTCTTAATCTGTCTTAGAAACTCTCTTCTAACCTCTTGTTCCATTCCCAGTAACCAACATCCAGTATCTGCATACGGGTCCCTTGTAACTCATGGGCCCTACTATATATAGCTTCATCCATCCCAGAAAGCTGATGGTTCCAGATTCAATTCCCTTCCCTACCCATTCTTTCAGTGACTACTTAGTGAATGCCTACTATGTGCCAGGCTCTATTCTAGACACATAAAATACACAGCCCAGGACAATTCCAACAAAAGTCTCTGTCTTCATGGCACTCACCATCTAGTTCTCAGAGAGGCTAGCCCTCTCTGTTCAATTCCCTCAAGGCCCTGCTGCAGGACTGCACACACAACTGTGGAGCAGCAATGGTGGAAAAAGGAGCCAAACCACCTTCCTTTCCAGCAGATTCTCTGAAAGATACTCTAAAAAGCAAGAAAGCTTCTCATTAGGCAATCAGCAGGAAGGAGAAAAGGGAGAAGAGAGGTGAGAGAGTAGTTTGAACAAAGAACACTCAGATTGTGCCCAGCCAATGTGTTGGTGAACTTCATGGTTTGCTAATGGTGCCAGAGCAATCACAAACTCTCTGAACTTGCATGCCAGGTTTGTTGTTGTCAGTACAATTATACATGCATATTTTTTTTTGAGGAAGCAAGAAACGTATGGCTATTGGATGATTTTCAAAGGGGTCCATAACTAAAAGGAAGTTCAATAATCACTGACTTGTATAATGAAACATCTAGTGCTTGTATAATGAAACATCTACGCAAGAACTTGGAAATTACTATTAAATGAAATTATAAACATAGCCTGGGCCTAGACCATGTAGAACTCGAAATGCCCTATTAGAGAGTTTCAATTTGTTTCAAAGTAACAAGAGAACCACTAGGGTTTCTGGTATTTTAGGAAAGTAACCCTGGAGGGAGCAGGGTGAAGGGCAGGGTGTAGGGCTGGAAAAAGCTGAACTGAGGTGCAAAGGTGGTAAAGAGGCCAGCTGCAAGTCTACACATATCCACTTAAGAAGAGGCCGGCAGTTCTTCAAAATGTTAAACATAGTTTCCATATGACCCTTCAATTCCACTCCTAAGTATATACCCGAGGGAAATAAAAATCGAAAGCACAAAAACTTCAACACAAATGTTCATAGCAGCATAATTTAAAATAAAAAAGAACCCAATATCCATCAATTAATGAATGGATAAATAAAATGTGGTATATTCACACAATAACATATTATTCAGCAATGAAAGGTACTTACTTACACATTACAATATGGATAAACCTTGAAAACTTTATGCTAGGTAAAAGAAAGCAGTCATCAAAGACCACATTTTATATTTTCTATTCATATGAAATCTCCAGAACAGTCAAATCTATAGAAACAGAAAGTAGACTGGTGGCAGCCTAGAGCTGGGGAAGTGTGGGGGGAAATGCGGAGTGAGCGCTAATGGGTAGGGCATTTCTTTTTGAGGTGATGAAATCGTAAAACTCTGGTGATGGTTGCACAATCTATGACTATACTAAAAATCACTAAATTATACAATTTTAATGGGTTATTTGTATGGCATATGAATTGTGATCTCAATAAAGCTTTTATTTTTATTTATTTATTTATTGTTTTTTAAGATGGAGTCTCACTCTATCAACCAGGCTGGAGTGCAGTGGCATGGTCTCAGCTCACTGCAACCTCCACCTCCCGGGTTCAAGCGATTCTCTTGCCTCAGCCTCCCGAGTAGCTGGGATTACAGGCGCCCACCACCATGCCAGGCTAATTTTTGTATTCTTAGGAGAGACAGGGGTTCACCAGGTTGGCCAGGCTGGTCTCGAACTCCACATCTCGTGATCTGCCTGCCTCGGCCTCCCAAAGTGCTGGGATTGTTACAGGTGTGAGCCACTGTACCTGGCCAATAAAGCCCTTTTAATAAGTGCAGCAGCTAGAGAAATGGATGGAGGGCCGGGGCTTGTATCAGCTAGTTTTGTTCACATACAGAATGCTCTCTTTTCCTGCTTCCCCAGATAGTGGATTTTGTATGTGTTTCATCCCTTTTCAAGTGAATCTTATGAAAAGTCCCAAGACTTCCACAATAAAAGAGAGCTGTTCTGCTTGTAGCAGGGTCAGGAGGCCCAGGGCCCAGTTATTTGCTTCCCTGACACCCAAATTGGCAGACCCTAAAGTGCCTTCAGGGAATTCCAGGCCTGATGGAACACAATCCGAAACCACTCTATAGATCCAAATGGCTGAGAGATGTGGAATGTTAAGCATCTTTGTATTTGTAGGGTCAGTGAGAGGGAATTCAGCCAACATGTCCCCCACCCCAGTCACACCAGGGAATTAGAGACAGTTATGTCCACACTAAAGCCAGTCCTGCACAGCCTTTAACACATCACAACTCTTATCCTTCTGCCTAATCACCATGCAAGGTACCCTGGTAAGAGGAAATAATGGTTTCACTTGTAGGAAGCTAAGGGAAGTTTGCTTTTATACCCTCTTACAAGGCTTTCGGAGAGGTCCAATGCATGTGAACTTAGTTCAGAAGGGTCAAATGTTTCATATCCCAAAATCTTACCTGGCATTTGACCATAACCAAGCTGCTGGCAGCCTCTAACTTTAATAACAGTAAATTTAGAATTATAAAATACGTTACTTCTTTAGGGAAATTTCTGTAGCATGTATATTCTTAAATCTATGTTTCCTGCTGCCAATCAGTAATTTGTAAACCATAAACAGTCACATTTCACCAATGTTGTTCTGTTTTATACATGCATCCCTTACTTATTTCTCTACCCTGGCTTTGAAACACACACCTTCTGCAATGGGCTTTTTATGGTATTTACTCTTCTCCCTTTTATTCTTGCATCAATCCCCTTTTAGAGACTCTACCAAGCCAGGCACAGAGGTGTATGCCTATAATTTTAGCTATTCAGGAGACTGAGGCAAGAGGATTGTTTAAGCCCAGGAGTTCGAGACTAGCCTGGGCAATGTAGGAAAACCTCATCTCATAAAAAGATATATATATGTATTTTTTTAAAAGGTAAAAAGAATCTACCAAAATCTGCTTCTAAAAACGTCTCTGGCCGCATTACCCTTTTTCTCTGAAACATCAGACCCGGCTTTTCAAACCGAATTTCTAACTACTGGCTTCTAACCATACAACACCGTCTACGTAAAGCACACAGAGGCACGCCTCATCTTGGTTCTTCCCAACCAAATCTCAGCCACTTTATGCCTCTCAGCCAGCCTAAATGCCTGGACCCATCTACATCCTGTGAAGCAGCGTCATTGCGAACTCTCCTTTCATTGCTTGTGAAGGATGCTGACACTGATCACCAGGACTATGTCACTCACCAGGACCCAGAGCAGCTGATTTGTAAGTAATCACACCTTCTGGGAGTTTGTCATTTTCTAGTGTTACCTCTTTTTTTTAATTGCCTCTTAATAATTACAGTGAAAACTACCAAAAAAAAGTTTATCTTAACTTTGGCCCATATACATATACCCTTGCATTTTGTCACTTCCCTACCAAAGATTGGCTCCCAAACATTCTCTCCAGCCTCACTTTCTGCCACAAAAGCAGAGCTGGCTCCCAGCCAGGTGCAGGAATGTGAAAAATACTAAAGAAACTGCCTATTTGTCATTTACTCAGGGGAAGGCTGCACTGTGATCCTTTCACAGGGTGATAGTCTCCGGTTTAAAAGGGATGGAGAAAGATATACCTGCAGAACAGAAGGTAGGCACCACTGGATAGCTAGACTGTGGGATCCAGGCCCTGCCACGGTAACAATACTGTTTGAGTTGTCAGCAGCTACTCTGGTTTCTATAAAATGTCAGAGCCCCAAAATGCCCTGGCACCTGTGCTAATAACAAAGCCAGCACAGAATGATTACCTGTTATTATATTAAATAGCTAAACTATACCTTGCATAATGCTTTACAGTTCCCAAGTGGGTTTATACATCTTTCCATTAAACATTAGTACCATTTCCAAGTGCTTTCCTTAGAACTTATTACAGCTATGCAAAATAAATACCATCTGGCTTCTTTGTAAAACAAAACAAAACAAAACAAAACATACAGTGCCAATACCTTCCTTTGAAGGGGGAACTAAAACACCCTCCTTCCGTTATTGAGAATTGTTCCCTGGAAAGTGGTCTCTGAAACAAAAGTGGTCTTTGAAACAAAAATCATTTGTAGGTTCTAATTTGTAAATTAGTATTTCTCAGGGGATACAAACCAGAGGCAATTAGCTTCATGAAAAAGTAAGTATGATTTATCTTTACTAAATTATCTATAGGAATGTTAAAAGGACTCAAGATTTTTGAAAATACAATTTTAAAGGTTTTTCTTTTACACATCTCCAGGGTTTGGTACATTAATTCCTTGCACTTTTTTTTTTAACACTAGCTTGAAATTTAACCGTAGAAAAAGAAGAGGGAAGCATTTCATTTCCTTGGAAAGTTAATGAACATATGAAAAGGTAAAAAGAGTTACCACAATGCCCGCCCTCCCTCTCCAACAGTAGAAATAGCCTACAATATGCAGCTTCCACACTGAGTTACAGGTACAGCCCATGTCAGGCTTAAACACTTTGATTTAGGACTAGCTGCAGGTGTAGGAACAGAGGTCAAAGATCTAACCATTACGGTTTATAGAACCTTTAATACAAGATGAATGGGATGCCATCACATTTTCTTAGACTTTCAAAATCTGAACTTTACCCTCTAGTCTTATGACACAGAATGGTAAATTCAATTTTTTAAAAAACATACAGGCTGAAAGCAGTATATACAGGAGACCCATTCACAGTAAATCATGACTTGCATGCGGAGGGCACTTACACTATGCCTAGGACAGTTAGAGATTGAACATAAAAATAGTCTCCATCATTTTTCTTTGCAATGTTTATAAAAAGTATATGTCTATATATTTTCTAATTTTAAGCATTTTCTCAGTTTTCTTTGCCAAGCCAACTCAAATTTCTTAACTATTTTTTAATTCAGAAAAAAAAATGAGTATGTATATGTATGTATACATTTCCTCATTCTTTTAAAGAAAGGCTACTTTGTTTTTACTTCTGTGTTAATACTATAAAAAAGAAATCTACCTGATCCTTTAGGTGCTCTAATATAAAAAATCTGACAAAGGCATATTATTTAACTGATTGCCCAATTAACTGTAACAGGAAGGAAAATGAAGGAAAGATCAGCATGCTTTATCACTGAAAGTTATATAATTGTATTTCCTCAATGCCTCAAATTACATATTAGTATTTATTAATATAATTCATTAAGATATATTTTCCCTTCTTCCCTCCAACCCCTGCTGAATTTGTAGAGAGGCTCTCTGAGGAACTTCAAGAGTGCCACCTGATGCATAGGCACAAGCCCCAGCCATTGTATCAAGCTAATTCAGACCAAAAGATCAAGCCAACACAGTGTGCTTCGGAGCTCTCAAATGGATGGCTGGTGGGTTGAAACTGCCCTACACATGTATTTTAAAAACCTAAATTAGCTCCAAACATTTAAAAATTAAGGAAGTGCACCCACACATCTAGATTTCCCACTTTTTCTGAAACATCAGTAGATCTGGCAACACTGAGCTTACATTCCACCATGGCTGGAATGACTGGCGCTGTACTCACAGCCCAGTTTATGGTGATCCCACTACTCAGACCCATCTCACACCCATCCTACTTTACTAAGCTATATGGCCTGGCTGCCAGGGCAGGTATTTGAACTTGTCTCCCTGTAGAGAGAGCTCTGGAGTCAGATCTTGTCTGAATTCTGGATTAAATAACATAAAGTACTAAAAGAACTTACCACAGTACTCAGCACACTGGGCTGAATAAATGGTCATAGATACTATTATCATCTTCAAATGACAAGGCATTTAAGAAATACTTGAGAAGATGCTAATTTTCACCCAAGCCAAAAAGGTTTCTGAAATCACTCATTTCAACTCTCCAAATTTATGTTTTATTTAGAAACAAACTGAGTTTTTAGGGACTCATTAAACTTCTGCTCTTGTTTGTCAGGAACCTGCAGGCCTCCACTCTACATATGCAGAGAAAAGAATAAGCAAACCTCTGCAACCTCTGGTTTTCATTTAGTTGCTAAGACAAGCAATAGATTGCAAAAATAGTTTTATACATGTATCAATCTGTACCCTACTCCTGAAAAGTTTCTCATATTAACATAAAGAGGGAAGAGAATGCCAGCTTTCATTAACCTATAAAACATTAAACATTAAAGAACGAATTAATTGCTGCAATTAGCATCAAACGTTGACAAATGTATGGTTGTAAAATGTTTATCTTTCATTATAAAGGCTCTGGAGTTTGCAAATTGCAATAATTGATACTCTGTAAGAACTGTAATTAATTGAGAACTTTTACAGTTCAATTACAGGAGTAAAGGAAAGAAAAATTACATTCAATTGTCTCTTCATAATTTTAATGCAATCTTGGTGAATTAAAATTGGCAGAAAATCTTACCAACTTACATTCATAATCTGAGACAGACAAAACTGTAACAGAAGCTAAATCCAATTATTTATTCTATATTGGCAAAAATCCAAGGCAGTAACATAATGAATTTTTACGTGGATGGCTGCAGGTGGGGTGGGGGGGTGGCAGGAGTGGAGGGTAATGCAAAGAAGAATCCATGTAAACCTTTCTAATAAATTCCCTTGAAATGGCATAATTACGATATGAAATGGTATTAATAGTACTTGACTGAATATACTATATTCTGATAATAAAGTAAACGTTGCTGTAAAACCTTAACCATTTCTCAAATGTCGACTTTGGCTACAACATAGGCTACGACATATGTGAAAATTGGTACTCATGATCCTTAATAAGCATTTTACTTCAAAGTCAACAATTTTACAGCACAGCCTATCCCTTCCATAATGACAACTTAGAGTTATAAAATGGGGACATTACTTATGCAATTTATGTTTATAAAGCTAATTATTTTTGGAAATCAAATCACTACAAATGACCCAAAAAAACCCTTGGATGTTTATTTTATAAGAAGAAACATATTGAGGATGAACATGTTCCCCTTAGAATGAATGTATCTGTTCTATATGGCTGGCTCTTCCTTTGCTTTTGTTTTTGGTTTTGTTCTTTTGAGACAGAGTCTTGCTCTGTTGCCCAGGCTAGAGTGCACTCATGTGATCTCGGCTCACTGCAACCTCTACCTCCTGGGTTCAAGCAATTCTCATGTCTCAGCCTACAGAGTAGCTGGGACTACAGGCACACACCACCACGCCCAGCTAACTTTTTTATTTTTAGTAAAGATGGGGTTTGCCATATTGGCCAGGCTGGTCTTGAACTACTGGCCTCAAGCAATCCACCTGCCTTGTCCTCCCAAAGTGCTGGGATTACAGGTGTGCACCATGGTGCCTGGCCATGGCAGGCTCTGCCTAGGCTGGCCTGTCTTTAAACACAACCTGTGCTTTCCACATTCTGAAAACAAATGAAAGCAGAAGACTCATCCACATTCCACAGCTACTGTGAAACTTCAACAGCATCTACTGCATTTACTGAAGTGCTCTACCTCCCCTTCACTTTTCACTTCTTTGGAAGTGATGCTGATTACTCCAATAATCTTCTGGAAGGCACAGGGGCCATGCCATGACTCCAGAGTTCCAAAAGTGTATCCTTTTTACACTGATGACACCCTGAATGAGCCGGTCGCACCTGCTTCTTGCGCAGAGCCTTTCCTGTCTACAACTCTGTATCTCATTGACATGGCACAAAATACTGATCCTCAAAAGAATGCCACAAGAGATTGAAACCATTCTTAAGGTATGTTGATTCTTCCTTTATAAATATGGAAGAAGAAGAAAAAAAATTACATCCTGCTTGCCTTCTAGAGCACACATAATCCGGGGTTTCCTTCTACTCCCACTGGCATCTCCTTCTCAGCATTCTTGGCCAGTCCTCCCCCACCCCCAACTTCTCAATATCTTAGTGTTGGAAGGTCTCAGGGCTTGGTGCTCAGCTTTAACTTCTCTATCTCTAGTCTTTCTCCAATAATCTCTTTCAGCACCATTGCTTGAAATTCCATCTACATGCTAACCACTCCCAAATATGTCTCCAGCCTTCAAATGGCCCAAATCCAAACCTGCTTGCCTGCCTGTTCAATAGTGCCTCTTATGTCTCATAGCCATCTCAAAAGACTATGTGGGACAAGGGACAAATAACTACTGCAAAACTCAACAGCATTAGAAAAGGCAAAACTATAGAAATAATAAAAAAGATCACTGGTTGTCAGGGGCTTAAGGAGAGGGAGGGATGAACAGGTGGAACACAGAGGATATTTAGAGCAGTGAAACTATTCTGTATGATACTAATAATGATGAACACATGCCATTATACATTTATCCATCCCATAGAGTGTAGAACATCAAGAGCAAACCGTAATGTAAATTATGTACTTTAGGTGATAGTGATGTGTCAATGTAGCTTCATCAATTACAACAAATGTACCATTCTGATGTGGGATGTTGATAGTAGGGTAGAAGCTGTGTGGGGTGGGAGCAGCATCAGGGGGTATATAAGAACTCTGTACTTGCTGCTCAATTTTCCTATAACCTAAAACTGTTCTAAAATATAAACTATATTTCCCACAAGTCTTTCCTGGCTACTAGAGAAAGAGCTGTCCAGTGGGAAAGATATAATCTCTCTATGCCAGAACCAGATTCTAGACCACTTTCTTTCACTGAGCAAAAACACAAAATAAGGAAACAACACACAATTATGCCACATGTGAATACTCAACCTGTTCCTCTCCCATTTCTCTTCTCCAAGCAGCCCTCCAAAACCAGGAGGAGGGAGTTTTTCAACTTACTTCTTGAAGAAGAAAAAGAAATCAATCGTCCCAACAGGTATTTACAGAAATAGCCAATAATTCAGTATTAGCTGATAATTATGAATCATCCTTACATTAGAGGGTGACCATACAATTTATCCTCCAAATTGGGATATCTTTTGAGAATGAAAGGGGCAGCTAATCACAACTAAAATTATCCTGGGCAAATGAGGAGATGCAATTACTCTAATCATTTAAAAAGCACTAACTGTATACCAGGAGCTAGTCTAATGGCTTTCCATAGACTGACTGACTGATTCGTTTAACTTCCATAATAACCCAAAGAAGTAGTTAGTGGTATCATCTCCATTTTACACACATGACTGCTGAAGCACAAAGATGTTAGGTATTTTGCTCAAGGTCACACAGGACAAATGGTACAGAAGGGAATGGAATCCAGGTGGACTGATGACACTCTTAGTCACCATGCTATACTATCAGTAACACCACTGTCAGCAACTTTCAAAATGTCTCAATTGTTATGATGTTTTATAATAAGCAATTTAACCTTGTATTTCATAGTCCTGAGTTATCTCAATAGGAAGTCATGGGTTTGTTTGTTTTTTCTTTTCTTTTCTTTTTCTTTTGAGACAGGCTCTCACTCTGTCACAGGCTGGAGTGCAGTGGCACAATCATAGCTCACTGCAGCCTAGACCTCTCCCGGTTTCAGGCAGTCCTCCCACCTCAGCTCCTGAGTAGCTGGGACTACAGGAATGCACCATCACACCAGGTTAATTTTTGTATTTTTTGTAGAGATGGGGTTTCACTCTGTCGCCCAGGCTGGTCTTGAACTCCTGGGCTCAAGCAATTCACCCACCTTGGCCTCGCAAAGTGCTGAGATTACAGGCATGAGCCACCACGCCCAGCTAGTTGTTTTTTTTTTTCTTATAGCTAAACTAAATTATTCCTCCTGTACCTTAGGGTAGAATGAAAAGAAATAAAACATAGCTAGAACTGGCAGGAAGCTGACTACTTCTGGCTTTGCATTTACTATCTGTTCTCATTATTCCCAGAAGTTATGTTCCATGAAGTTGCTGTGAACATTGAATTACTGGAATACTGAACTAGTGGAAACACAGTGTGGGTTCCTACAAGCCTCTGGTCACAATAATTTCATCAACTGATCAATACATAACTTTGTTTTCTGAGTGTTTCAGTTTAAAAACACCTTATTTAATGTATACAGTGTTGATTCACTAACAATGAACTCACGCCAATGGCACTATCACTGCAGTCACAAAACTATGACATATTGTTGATTTGTTAATATTGAACTCACGCCAACAGCAGTACAGCACTAGAACTCTAACTTACAATAGCACTATGAGCTTACCTTAAACACACATTTTCTCTGTAAGACACCACAGCCTTCTTGTAAACACTAAACAGTTTTGCACGATGCTTTGGGATCACTTTAAACAGCAAAATGATCAACAAAAAGCACAAAAATACAAAAAACTGTGGCACTTAATCGACCATCAGAAGGACACTTGTTTATAGTATAAGAAAAGGCAGAGACTGCCTTGTTCAACCTCAGCTGGAAACACGCGTGTCAGGAAACACATTTTTTTTTTTGCTGCTCTGCTTGCATGACTGTGAATGACCATAAAACCACAAGTATTGATTTTGGGTTAAAAATAAATTTTAGCAAATAGGTAAATTTGCAAATATGGAATCCGCAAATAATGAGTATCGACTATACTTGTCACTCACAAATGTATCAGGCTCCTGTAGCAGATGAGGAATTGAGACTTCAATACTGGCAGGCTAATCTGAGTGCAGGCCCCCATTGAGACTCCGAGTGCTTGGGTGACTGTGGGTAAGGTACTTTACCTCCATCTGAGCCTCCCCTTTCCTCATCTATAAAGTAATAATGCCCAAACTTTTTCTTCTTTGGGTTAAATAATAGCAATTTCAATAATTTCCCACCTTGTACTTTACATTTCTAATCTTTTTTTTTTCACTACAGTCTTCATAGAACTATCTCACATTTCTCATATGCTAGAATTAAGCTAAAGATAGCAACCTAGTTCTGATCTAAGTGGACAAAATAAAGTGGTATCTGTAGGCACACTGACTTTTTTCAGGAGCTTAAATTTAAACTTTCTTGAGAGAAAAAAAAAAGTGGCAGAATCGCATATACAGTCAGCACGCTGTTTTTAAAGAAAAGTGGGACAATAAGAAACCATTTTTATTTGCCTGTATCTACATAAGGAAATGCTAGGAGGATAAACAAGACAACTAATATAATACATCAACAGAAGGTGAAGGGTAACAGAGTCAACGCGTCTGGGCTTCTCAGTATATAAACAGATGCTATTTGATAATCTTTGGCCATTTTTGGGTTTTTCTGTTTTTGTTTTTGTTTTTTAAGACACAGAGAGTCTCTGTCACCTAGGATGGAGTGCAGTGGAGTGATCTCGGTTCACTGCAACTTCTGCCTCCTGGGCTCAAGTGATCCTCCCACCTCAGCCTCCCAAGTAGGTGGGACTACAGGCATGTGCCACCACGCCTGGCTAATTTTTGTATACTTTGTAGAGACAGGGTTTCGCCATGTTGCCCAGGCTGGTCTCAAACTCCAAAGCTCAAGCAATCCACCCACCCCCACCTTCCAAAGTGCTGGGATTATAGACGTGAGCCAACGTGTACAGCCTCTTTGGACTTTTAAGCCACGTAAATATATAACATACTAAAAACACAGTGAACCACCCTTTCCTATAAAATGGGTCAGAAGTCCTGAGTTCTAGCCTTAGCTCTAATTCTAATTAGCTGTGAGATCTGGGATACTATCTGTAAATTACAGAATGGGATATATGGCCTCTAAACTCAATCCCAAAATTCCATGGAAGTAGTTTATTAATCACAGAACAAAGTGAAAGAGTAAAATAAGCTCATGCACACCACATGGCTTACTAAGATAAATAAATTAACAGCAGGTGAGCTATATCTTAATCAAGCTAATGATCACACAGTTGATAGGTTGTACAATTTTATTTCTTATTTTTAAATAAAATACCTGGAGATTGTAAGAACAAAACTGCAATCATGAGTTACAGAAATTTTCATAAAACTGTTACCTAAGGACATGATGTAAAAGGAGTTTCTAATGAACCTGAAGTATAGATCAGATGACTTTTCCGTAAGCTAAATAAATTGACAGGATCCAAATCTTCCAGATTTAGAAATCATTCAGAGGCAGGGAAATCCAAGAATTATGCATTCAAACTAGAAATATGTTTCGTATTTTGCACTGTGACATAATCCAGGCTCTGTTTTTCTTTAAATAAAAATTTTCATATTGTAGCTAAAGGATCAATTTAACTACAGTGCAGAAATGTTGGTTTATTAAGCTGTTCCATACATCCCAGGTGCCCATTTAATGAAGTTACTTGCAAATATAAAACAATTAACATGTGACTAGTATGGCATTTCTATATCTAGAGACTAGACTGAATTATATTTGAATTAAAACATCTGATAAAGACTATTAATCTAATGAGATTAATTTGACAAAGGAGGAAAGGAAAGAAGATTGAGCGGTAAGGAAAGGTCACTTCCTCAGTTCCCCCATCCAGGCCAAGGTCCTACTTTAAGGAATACTCTGTTTCTCAGGCATCTGTTCTGTGTGTGTTTATCCCACCAGGTCTCAAGGACAAGGACCTCGCTTGTCAAGCTTACTGTTACATTTCCAATGCCTAGCACAGTGCCTGGTACACAGTAGGTGCTCTCATCCTAAAATATTTTATCAAGGAATCAGATGTAATGCTCAATAAGAATCCCATATTCAGAGCAATGACTATTTTCACAATAAAGTCCATAACTCATGTGGACCTATTCATTTAAAGTTCCTAAGTAGAAGAAACTACATAAAGAAAACTTGGGCTTATTTGGGGAGCATACAAAGATTTTAAAAAATTATACTCGGTGTTATTCTTAAGACTCTGGCTGTTTGATGGACTAAAAGTAAATAGGTACTGGTGCATACAGTGTGTATGGTAGGCAATCATCGTATTAAAAAAACTGTACTTGTATGTGCAGAGAGTATCTCTGGAAGCTACGCCCCAAACCAGTCATACAGGGGGACTTGTTTCTCAGTGCATACTTTTTGGCAGTATTTGAATTTTACACCATGTACATTTATTACTTTCAGTGGTTGTAGGCGGACCCTCTCAACCACTGTTTCTTTAATTAAAGCTGAGTAGCCTCCTCCAGATGGATAAGCATTGAGGCAGCCCCTGATGAGGATACACACTGCTCACAAGAAAAAACACAGGCATTGCAAATGGATTAAAAGCAGCTCTGGAGAATTCAAACTTTTACCATGCCAAACAGCCTACAACTCAATACCAGCCTTGCTCAAATACATACACTCACTAAAATTATCAAAATATTATGTCATGTTTCCCTCAAAGATGTTGTTCAACAATTCCAGAGGAAAGGAAAAGGCAGCTTCTTTATAAAGCTTTCTGCTCCATCTGTTTTTCAGAGCATGAACGTTCCCTCTCAGAAAACCATTTTCATACGTTACCTTCCTATCCTCAGGTTATTCATATGTTTGCTACCTCTAGCAACTCTTTCCCACATTAAAAATAAATACTGGCTGGGCACAGTGGCTCATGCCTGTAATCCCAGCATTTTGGGAGGCCAAGGCGGGCGGATCATGAGGTCAGGAGATCGAGACCATTCTGGCTAACATGGTGAAACCCCGTCTCTACTAAAAATACAAAAAATTAGCCAGGCATGGTGGCATGTGCCTGTAGTCCCAGTAGGAGTAGTAGATTCTCCTACTGAGGCAGGAGAATCGCTTGAACATGGAAGGCAGAGGCTGCAGTGAGCCAAGATCACGCCACTGTACTCCAGCCTGGGCAATAGAGCGAGACTCTGTCTCAAAAATAAAAAATAAAAATAGATATAAATAAATACTGTAGCAACATGTACAGCTAGATTTTTTCAAACCATCCCCAGGAGGCTTTCACTACATCCAGACCCTGATTTAAGTCAGACTTCTGAGCCTAAGGTAATGTCTGCAAAGCTAAGTCTCTAAAAGACTAACTTCCAAATCCACATACCATGGATAGAAATTATTGTTTAGAAAAAGCAATGGTACGAAAAAGAATTCTCCAGTGTGAGCTGGTGATAACAGACTCACAGCAAGTGAAACCTTAGGGCCCTGGTTTTAGATTATTTAGTTATTCCGATAAACATTAGTTCCATGCTGATGGAAAGTTCATTTAGCAGCTGACATGCAGAGGGACAAAGTGATCTGTCTAAGGATGAGATTAACATTCCTTATGCAGGTCTCAGGAAAAAGAAATGTGATCAATAAAAACTAGTATTCAAAGTTGGTAATTAGTTCATGCCAGGAAAGTCTGGAATAAAATAGATAAAGGCAGGCAAGTTTCTCCAGTTTGAACACCTGAGTTTCCAAATATTGGGGTCTTCAAAGAGTCCGGAAAAATATGCTTTATTCAACAGCATGCAGAGAAAACGTATCTTAGTTCTAAATAATTATACTGTTTTCCCCATTCTAAGTTGGAAAAGGTACTCCATAAGTAACAGAAAATCACTTAGTGTCTCTCTCTCTGAAATATTAATAAAATGATATCCTGATCTCTAAATTTATTAAAACAGTGGTAAAATAATATTCTGGACAAATAAAATTATATTACAATCACAAAAGCAGCTTTGTGAAAGTAAACTGGGTATTGGCCAGGAAGACTGAAAAAAGAAAAAGGATTAAAAAATAAGTCAAGGTTCAAAACAGGAGGCATACAGTGACCCCTAGGAATGGCATAAGCATAAGTGAGGTAAACCAAACTCCTCCCATATTTAATATTTTTAAAACCTGAAAAACACAGATTCTCAAACGACCATATGAGATCCTCCAAAAATCAAAGATAAAATAATTAAATCTATACCTGTGACATACATTTTTTAAACCAGTCTTCCTAAAAATCCTTAATGCCACTTAGATAAATCCAAGAGAATAATTTCATAACTTAATCACTCCAGCTTTCTTTTCAACTGAATGCCTTCAAGTAAAATCTCAACTTGTAAGAACGCTTGCTGAGGATTTCTTGGAAAGCATCTTATTCACAGCAGATTTTTTCAGAGCTATCTAAAAACATTCACAAATGTACACCTAAATATTTATAACTAAGTAGTGTGTATCAAATATATACAAGACTCAAGAGAATAAGAAGTAGAAGCTACATCACAGGACAACTTCAGCAGATGAACACAAACATTCCTATTGTGCCCTGTTCTGGTCATTCGTATTACTCTTCTCTGCTAGAAAAGAAATTCCAATGAACTCCCAATACAGAGACAGTTTTTCTTGTTACAAAGGGACCTTTGTTTGAATCCCCCACAAGTGACAAGGTCAATCTTAGCCAATCTTGACATTTCTATGGAACCTTTCCACCAAAATTTTTTTCAAAGTCCAAGTCATTTCCCGAAACCTTTTTGAAATCCAAAGGAAACACTGTATAAAGTATCTATTAAGTTCTTTAACAAATACCATTCATCATATGTTCCTCAGGATATTTTTTATAAATATATTTTTAAAATTAAAAAACAAGGCTTACATGATTTAATCCACATCCTTAAAACAATTAGAGAATGGTAATAATATACTGAATTAATACTAAAACAGTCTTCACCTTCTTCTTAGCATATAGGTGATTTCAAAATTTTTTTTAAAAATCATATTTTCACAGCTTTTTTACATAAAGTTGATACTCTAAAAAATTAAAATATTTTGCTGTGAGGTTGCTCAGTATTTATATCAGCACCTAAGATATAAGAAATTCTTTAAGTCCTAAAAAAAGACTTGCAAAATCATTTTCTACAAAAGTTTATTTTGAAAACAGATTTTTTAGACCAAAAAGCAGAAAATTACAACCTGAATTAAGTTGGCACTTTCCAAACATACATTTTCTTTTCTTCCTCAAATCACTGTAAAGTAGTTTAAGGAGGGTAGTGTATGTTATTTGGGTATTTTTTTAATCTGAGGAAAGTACATAGACAGCATACATGCAAAAGTTAATAAATACAAACTCCACACACTTCAGATTATGGGATACTTTTATAATCAATTAGGTTATTTCTAGAGAATACTGCAATGCCAAACCATTGGGACACATTCACAGACTGCTTATGCTAAAGATATGGACAATATTCTTCACTTCGGGAACAATGTCCATGAGAAAATAAGACAATGACCTTTATGATGTGCCACAGAGCTGTGCCACAGAAAACAAGATGCTCTTTGCTTTTAAGTCTCCATATTCTAAGAGGTCAAAGACATTCAAATATGAGATAAAAATCTCATCACTCCGTCTGACTAGCTCCATGGGTGATGTACACCAACAGGAGCAAGTTCAAATAATTTTCCAGATGTGTAATCCCTGGCAGATTAAAATTTAAATTAAAATTTAGTTCTGTAGACTGAACCCTTAACTGCACTTACAATATATATGTATTTTTGAACAAACAGTCTATGCCAATACATTATGAAGAATCAAAAAACTCACTAGGTACAATTCCAGTTAGGTGAATGACTTTAAACAAATCCACGTAACTAATTTGGGCCTCAGTCTCCTTACCCACAAAAGGGAAATGGTAGTACAGTAAGTCCACACAATGTTGTTGATAGGTTTTGGGGGCTGTGACTCTAAGTGAAATGATGTATAACTAAACTAATTTTACCAAAGGCTCATTGATATAAACAAAAGTTAAGTTCCTACAGGATATTTCTGGTCAAAAAGAAAATCACCAAACTTCTAAATAAACACTCAAAACACTTCTAATATTAAACACTGAAATAAATGTAAGCTAGATATACATTTAAGAAAGAGAAGTAAAAACAAGTAAGACAATTATTTACCCAATTTTTGGTGAATCAGTGAGTGACAGCAGTGGGTTAAATCAAGGTATAAATGTTTGCAAAGTGAAAATTGGAAGGAGCACCTCCTACCATCATGCGGTTCAAAAACAATCACAAATACGGCGGCTCAATGAGCGCTTTCTAAAAGCATCGTTTATTATAGTGCATTTGTATGATTATCATATATAATACAAATTTATATTTCATAATCATTTGCATTCATTCATTCATTCCTTTCCCAAGCATCTTATTCCAGTTCAGGGTCACACCTGGCCAGAGCCTATCTCGGCAGCTCAGGGGGCGAGGTAAGTGTCAACCCTGGACAGGACACCCTTCCATCACAGTGCACTCTCACACACCCACATTCATTCAGACTGGGGCCACAGACACGCCAATTCACCTAATGTGCACATCTTTGGGAGGTGGAAGGAAACCTGACTACCTGGAGAAAACCCACGCAGACACCGGGAGAACATGCAAACTCCACACATGCAATGGCCCTGGCTGGGAATCCATTTTTCCCCTCATCAACATTATAGCAAAACAACATTACTCAAGGATTTGGCATACTTCACAGCATGCTATTAAGGATTAAATCAGATGAAATAAGAAAAGTTTTTGGAGAAACACAAAATTGATGCCCAGATGCTAATAATTAATGCACAGCAATTAGAGGCAACATCCTATGATAAGCAATTAGAAGGCTTTAAAAAGTCTGCTTTTGAAACTTAATTCATCAACCATCTCCCTTCCACTTAAATCAAGTGCTAGCTTTAACTTGGCTAGAATACAAAGTTTAAATTAAAATCTTTTCCATCAGCCAGAAAAACTGTGTGGTCCTGCTTGTTTTACTCACAACTGGCAGAGTCAAAAATCCATGTAATGGTTCAAAATCCACAGCTATAAATGCAATGCAGATGAAACACTGCAACCAAACCCCAGTCATTGTTTCTTTTTCCACAAAATTCTACCCTAGTTTAAGATTGATAACAGCTAATGACTAAGTAGGTAACACTTTAGTCTGTCCCAACCAGGCTCATTATCCAAGTTTAAATCTCCATGTGACAACTCAGAATCCACAGACTTAGAATTTGTAAAGGCAATGCAAAAAGAACATAATGGGTCCAAATGCCTGCAAAAAGTGACCAGGAGAATGGTCTAATTGGCAGCTGAAGCATGCCAGGGCCTGCTCTGAAGCACTGATTCAAGGAATCTACCACTCACAAAGAAAACACCAGGCTGGTTGGAAAAAATAGCTCAGGTTTTAGTCCTAATCTAGGTCACAATTAATTCTTTATGATTATGGAAGAATCTATTTACTTTGATTCACTCAATGTCAAAATAAAGATGATTGCTAAAATGTAATATTGTGCCACAACTACCTTTAAAAATAAACTCATGCAAACCATTGCACTAGATGCTGCATAAAACAAGACCTATTCTTTAATTTAGTCCTAGACCAATGCTGGCAGAGGCATATATTTACAAAAGTCAACAAATACAAAATCCAGAGACATTTCAGAATACCAGACATAGATGATAAAAATCATTTAGTAATAACATCAACAAAATAATTGCTACTAAAGAACTTGTCTAGTGTTATGCTAAGCATTTTATGTATATCATTTAATCCTCAAAACAATCTTATAAGGTTAAGTATACTATCATCCTTATTAAATGAGAAAGAAACTTAAGATTTAAAGTCAACAAGTACTTGCCTAACATGTTACTAAAATGGATATTTCTTGAGGCTTTTTATATTTCTGCTGTAATACTCAACTTATTGTTTCCTGCAAAACCTAATAATGATGTTAATAATAATGTATTTGAACATAAATCCATTAACAAAGATGATAAAATGTTACTTAACCTATACTATGCCAATCACTATTTGACAGAAAAGGGACAAAGTGTACACACACACACACACACACACACACACACACACACACACACACAAACCTGGCTACCAGCATTCCAAAAGGAGAGTAGCGCAGAAGGCTGTGGGTGCCAACTGCCACTATACCTTCGTTTCCTGTACAACAGTCCCCTTCTTATGTGGTCCTGGGTCTCCTGGTCCAGTATTCACCAATGCTGCCCTGCTGCTGGGGTAAAGAGGGTCATCATCTTGCTGGGTAGAGCCAAAGAGGGGATCTAGGATCTGACTACTTCTCAAACAGATTTGCATGAAACTTGCAGTTTTAGTCACACCTTTACCCAACTTCATCATCAATTCCTGCACCTAGGAATTACCTTTAACCTAGTCCTAGACCAAATTAATTAAGTTAATCATACTTATAGGTCTTTTTCTATTAACACAGCAATTATCTATAAATTACTCCAAGTAACCATAGATTTGTGAAGGAAGAACCAATCAATCAATCAATCAATGCACCACCTTTCAGAGGTTCTGGGATTTCAATCTGGTTGATCCTTGGTTTTCCTCACTACCAGTCTAGATTTAAACTTTCCTGCATTACTGGACAACCATCTCAGGTTTTTCAGGTTCCAAAATATTGTAGCTGTTGTCTCATTCTTATTTTCTTTTTCCTTGTGTATTGACCTTCCCATCATTTTTACTGGGATTTTTAGAAGAGAATGAATACAGTGCATGTCTCTAATCAGTCATCTTTAACTGGCCTCCTGTTCAATTGTACAAAGACTTCAGATCCCACACTGCTTTCCTGAGGTCTTATCCAAAGGACTGCATCTATTAAAACATCACTAGTTTTTCTTTCTTTATTGAAATAATACCTAAACAACTACCTATTTCTTTTACTATTACTCCAGACACTGGTTGTTGATAAGAGCTGAACAACATGGACTAGAATACTCACGTAGACTTACTTTGAAGTATTGTGAAAATACTTCGGGTGAATTTCAAATAAACTTCTTTGTCATTAATCTCAGGATAGAGAAACAGTCAAAAAGTGACATAAAGAGTGGCTTCTGAATGTCACTGTCTTTCAACTGTCAGTTGAAGAAATTGATTTTAGAAAGAATAAAGTTTCTCTGTTATATTCAGGAAAATAAGGTAATGGCTTTGTTTACCAAAGACTCTGGGGTAAGTTTATCTTGAGTATATATGGAGTAAGAAAATAACATTTGCTAACAAAAATAGCAACAGCCATTACTTCAGGGCAAAAATTAAACAGGTTCTACAACTTAAAATGTTCCATATTCTCTGGCCTAGTTAAATTTAATGTGTTTTTCCTTTAAAATTTAGCTTTAAGAATTAGTCAGGAAAGTTAAAATTTTAATATTCATACTATAAAAGACTTTTGAAGGTTTACTGTTATTTGCTTATGCATTAAAGTTTAGAATTTTAATTACCAAATAGAAACGTATTTCATAATGCAGATATGCTATACTATTATTTACATAAATTGTCATTTTTTGGTAATATGAACTCATTTCATAAAATAATATTAAAGCAAGTGCATGTAAGGTAGTTTTTAATGTCATATGACATTTCAATTTTAATAGAGTTTGATTAAAATTAGGGAAAAAACTTCTGGAGAAGCAAGTGCGGGGTAAGTACTATTTTGTATGTTTACTATTATTGTAATTTACTCTGCTACACAAAGCAGAAACCAGAGAATTTGGCATTCACTGCTCATTATATGTTGGGAACAAATTCAGTTCCTCAGGACACAAAAGCACATTGATGGATATTTTTACTTTACTCTGCAGAAATTGAAGACAAGCATAGTTTTAGTTTTAAATGGCTTTCCAAAGAATACCAATGTTTTAACTTTGTAATTGGAAAAAGAGAAACAAGTACCTTGCAAAGGTCTTCAGTAGCATATTTTTATAGGGTACTAATAACAGCACACTCTGTTATTGAAAAAAATTAAATGAAAGACTGTTAACATAACCTAGGTATTTAGAATGAAAACTCAGAATTGAGAGTAAAAACCCATCTTTTTATGAAACATCAAAGCAAAGACTCATCTAATTTTCATTTTGCAGAAAACTTTTTAACACAAAAGACCTTATTTAGACCTTAGAGTTTCTAAATATGGGAGAAGGGTTAACATTCAGTCTTCTACAAAAGACAATTTTCTTTCCTAATAGTATCAGTCTTTTAATAGGGATGTATCTTAAATTTAAAAACAATTGGTGTTAGATCATATTCTGTTGCAAATCATTGTAAGTTAATCACATTTATAGGTCTTTTTATATTAACACAGGGATTATCTATAAATTATCCTAAGTAACCATAGATTTTTGTAGATTTTGTAGGGGAAGAACCAAAAAAAAATCAAAGGAAATATGAAAATATGCAAAGTATATACTATGTGTGATGTTTAGTTATGAATTAAGCCTATTCATTTCTAATTGAAAGATGATATCAAATACTCCATTTTTCATGAGATGATCAGGCTTTTAAGATAGCCGAGGTCCTTAAAAGACAAGGAGATCATGAAACCAGGAAAAGCTCATGAATTTGAGTCAGAGGGAAGAAGTTGGTACAGTTAAACAGGAAGGAAGTAGAGTTGGAAGTCAAAGCCTTTTTCCCTGACACTGACCCAAAGTCATCTAGGTACTACCTAAATTTAAAGAATTTAGCTCTAATCATTCCATGCAAAAGGAAAGTGTGTCACCCTTCTTAGGCAGGGTAAAAACAATCAGTAGGATTCTAACTCCCCAAATACTCCTTTTAAGGAGGGTTAGAAAACAAACAATTGTTAGGCCATGGCACTAAGAGACAGAGTAACAGGAAGGTGTTAATAAGAGAGGCAAACCCTTTACAGCCAAAGGACTTAAGATCCATGCACACTGTGCAATTCCTCTTATCCTATTTAACTCATTTCTGTTCCAACCCACAGGCTCCTTAAATGTTTCTTTGTCAAAATTCTGACATTCGTCTTCTTTTTACTCCATGCATCTCAAAAAGGGCTTCAGTGGCATTTGGGTGGGACAATTCAGGCTTATCTGGGACTGTCCTACTAAGTGTAGGATGCCTGGCACCCTGGCCCCCACCTACTAATGTCAATAGAGCCCCCCAAGTCTACTGGGGCAACCAAAAATGCATTTCCAAGTATCCTTAGGGGGTAAATACCACCACCACTGCTTACAAACCACTGCTACAAGTTGTAGTTATCTCATTTAAACTTAAAATGACAAGAACCACCTCTGTGACTCAAATTGACATCCCTACTGAAGATTTTTCTGTAGTTCTAACCTGCTTTTCTCTTTTTAACTAAATACCTTACTCTCATGTTCCAGGCACTCAAATGCAAAATGCCCCAAACTGAATTCCTTGTCTCCCTCCCTAAGCCCCAATCTGTTTCTCTTATATCCTGGTTAATACAATTTCCAATGATAGTCAACCAGGTAGAAACCTGGGAGGCAAACCTAGGAGGACCCCGCCTTTTCAGCAAGTCCTCAAGAGTCCATATTCTAAATATCTCTCAATATCCCTTGGAGGCCCCTGTCAGTTTCCACCCTAGCTAGCTGTGTTACTTCAATTGCCTCAAATCTTTTAACATTTTCACCTCTCTGCTAAGACAAACACCATACTGTTCTCTACAATGCCACAAAATCAGTCCCCTACTTAATTGATAAATGTTTCCACATAGGCTTTAGGAAATGGTGAAAATGCCTCAGCAGGGCACATAATGGCCTTCACGAACATCTGCTCTCATGCTCTCCTTTGATTTTCACCAAGGGCCTTTAAACCCATAACCTCCAGCCAAACCCAAGCCTTTCCATTTCAAGGAAAGTGCCCTAAAACGCCTCTGCAAATACATTGGAGGTGTTCGCCAACTACCATGGGTCCCAAGAACCAACGGCCCCTGGGGAGATGCCACCAGCTGAAATGCTTTGGAACTTAGGAGCCTTGCAGAATAGGAGGCCCTAAGTGTTAACTGAAATGAGAAATGTTTTAAAAGAAGAAAAGAATTTTGCAGAGACATACTACTGATACATACGTACACACACACACAGTCAGAATGATCGTTGTCCCTGCTTGTCTGTTTTCAAATAGTGTCAACTTACATAAATCTTAGTGTTATTTATTGGCAGTCAACAACCTAAGCCACAATACAGGGGACTAGACAACACACTGTTAATTTGGATGTCCAGGATGTTCTGACCGCAACCTATATTGAATATGTCATCACCTATAGCTATAATTTTTCATTAGGTAAAAGTAAAACAATGAAGATAGCCCTGGTTATGACATACTTAACAATACCATGCTTACTCTGTAATATCTAATTCAGACACTGATCATTTATTTTACTCAAGATTTTATTTCGCATTTTCTTGGGACTGCAAACTCTTTCATGAGTAATACATTAAGTAGTTACCAACACTTGGGTGTCACTCTTGAAGTTCAACAAGCAGGCCTTACATCATGAAATAGCCTTTGCAAATAAATCTTCTGAGTACTTTGAATTTCAAAAAGGCTGTATCTGAAATGAGTGTTTCAAACTAAATCAAAAACACTTTTGTAATGTAAGTTATTATGATATAGACAGAGTTATCATGTAAAAGCTGAACATTCCTAGTTGAAATATAACAGAGATCAAATTATTACAAAGGCAGATATCCATATTAAAGCATTGCATTTGAAGTGAAAACAAAATAAAAATGTAAAGAATACAGATATTTCTTTGTTTTTCTTTTAATGGAGGATGAAAAGTATCTGTTTTCTTTTTTAAATAAAAAATAGACAAAAATGTTCAAAATAGCCCCTTACGATAAGCTATGACAGAGATAAAATTTTTAATAAAACCTTAAATGAATTTTGTAAATGACTGAAATTAAAGTAAAATTTTAGTCTATACTTTAAATAAAATGACTTATTTCAAGGTTAACCAATTATGAATTTGTCAGCCATATCCAGTGACCTCCCCTGTTTTATTCTGGGCTCATATTTCTTACTGCTTGTTTCTCATTTCCTTGTGTTTCCTTTTCTAACTACATTATGTTTATTGCAGATGCTGAAACTACAGATAAGTACACAGACAGAAATTAAAATAACTCATAATTCTATCATTAAAGATAATTATCCTTTATGTTTTGATAAATTACCTTTCAAATAATTAAAATCTAGAACAATATGAAATCCCACTCTTTAGACCTGCTTTAAAATCTGAATATATTAAAGTCCATATTATTAAATATTCCTTTAAAGCATTTTATTGGTTAAATAATCGTACATTATATAGGTATACATAGCTTATTAAACTAAAACCATATTTCTATTACAGTCCTTTTAGAATTTTCCTTCAGTTTTCCTGGCCTCTTAGAGTGATGATCTTTACATGCCTACTAACCATGAACTACATTATACTTTTGTTATTTCTCCTAAGACTTTGTTCACTGAGGGCAGTCTATTTAAGGATACATACATACTCTATTGAAAAGGCTACAACATAATGCTTGGTATGAATTATAAGTATTCCATAAAAGATAACTAAAATAATAACTAAATAAATGAACGTACACGTCCTTCAAGCCTCAAGGAATACCCTGGATTCTAATATTTTGGTATTTGATAAATTCAGTTATGTTCATCATTTCTACTTGTATTAACTTTTTCAGATAAGATGCCTCTAACAGCTTCTAACTTTTTGAGCAGAAAAAAAAATGCTAATACGTTTTCCCTCTCCTTCTTATTAAGCAGATAATTCTCTTTCACTAGCTAAGCCAATCTTACATGTTAACATTGCTGATCTAGTCAAAGCAAATATTCTTGTGTTTCAGCGAGCATTAGAAAACCTCTCCTTCCTTGACTTTTGTTGATGTAATGTTAGTGCTTATCTCAAATTTTAAATTGTTCCAACATCATAGAGGAATATTATTAGTTTAGTAATATTTTACTGACACATACTATGTTCCAGATGGCTCTTATTCATATGGAAAAGCTTATAAGAGAAATGCTAACTAAAACTATGCTCAGATAATCCTCCTTACCTATCAGACAAAATCTAAAGGTTAGATGACAAAAATCTAAAGGTTTGTTGACATACTCTGCTAGAAAGACTCTGGGGAAGCAAGCATTCATCTATTCTTGGTGGTACTGCAAAATGGTACAATTTCTTTGAAGAAGAATTTGGCAGTATCTTACAAAATAGTATACGCATTTACCCTTTGATCTAGCAATCCTAATTCTAGAAAATCTCAAAGATAGAATGGCTAATATATAGCAGGGTGTAAGCACAAAGAAAAACTATCTGTAACAGTGAGACTGAAAATAATCCTAATGCTCATACAGATAGGCGGCTGGATGAATAAACTACTACACAGTTACTCGATGATAATTATTGTAGCTGGAGAAAGGAGTAAAACATCTCCATAAACTACTATGGAGTAACCTCTAATATATGTTGTTACATGAATAAAGAGGCTGAGAAAAATAAGTAGAATATGCTTTCATTTATCTAAGAAAGTGAGGGGAATACATATACATAAGCATATGCATATGCTTATTTTAAAAAACAAAGATAAACAACTTATTTAAGAGTATCTATATGGGAAGAGAATAGGATAGAGGGGACAAGAATAGAAACTAGACTTTCTTCTTTATGTTTTAAGCTTTATTGAGGTATAATTGATACATAAAAAAGTACCTATTTAATATATATACTTTGATAAATTTGGAGTGTCTATGGGCTTTTAATATATCTAGTTTTATAGAGAAAAATTTGGATTTTTTTTCTGGGTATCTACTGAAACAGCCTAAAACCACTTAGCAATGAGCACGCTGGTACTCACTGAGGTTTTAAATACCACCTCATTTCAAAAGACACCAGAGCTCTTTGGGGAAATGGTTGATTCCAGGCCTGGAGCAGGAATTGTAAAACATGATCCTTTAACATCTTAAAATGTCATATAGCAAGAAAATAATCAAAAATTGTTAAGATCAAAGATGGAACAATTTGAGCACTAATAAATAGAATAACGTGAACTTTACCACTGAATATATGAATAGATGGATGTACCTTTCCCTTTATAGAAATATTTCAGCTAATAAATGAATAAAGAACGATAAATTAGAGTAACACTGTTTTACAATCCTTAATGAATTAATGGATCTGGTATTGATCACCACCCATAAATTATGTGCCTCATGGGAAATTCTACAGAACAAATGACCGGATTTCTTCAACAAATAATTGCAAGGAAAAAACATAAAAATGAATAAGGAAAGTTTTAATGTGCAGACATGCTATAATCTCCAGGATAGAGGTAAAAAAAAGTAAGGAGCAGAACAGTGTTTATAGTATGGTAACATTTAAGTAAAAACAAGAAAAATATATATATACATGTATTTTCTTACATAATCATAAAGTATTACTAAAAAGATACACAAGAAACAAATGTTGACTCTGGTTGTGTTTCAGGTGGCCAGGGAACAGTATATGAATGGCATTTTACTGTAGGATCTTTCATATTTTTGGAATTTTGCAACATGTGACTCTACTACTTACACGTACAAAACTTAAATGGAATAAAATCATAAAAGCATCATCATAAGTATAACCACAACAGTGTAGTTATGTAAGAAAATAACCTTATTCTTAAGAGCTGAATACTGGAGCATTTATAAGTAAAACATCCAATGTATATACTTGGAAAAAAATTAAGCAAAAATAATAGATAAGTAAATATGGAAAATTTTAACAATTGCTAAATATAAGTTTTGAATGTATAAAAGTTTATTATATGATTTTATCTACTCTTCATGACAAAAAGTAAAGCAAAAATCCTTAAATATAATGAAAATATATATTATTAAATCGTAGCCAGATATTGCCTGCAGAAGACCTAAGCCTAAGGCTTACTCTTTCTTTACTGAAATGGATGAATATCACAGACTAGCACCAAACGAAGACACTTTCCTTGATGTAATCAGAAGTAAAGAGCAAGCAAAGTGGGGAAAGAGGAATAACATAACTTAGGACAGCCGTCTGCTGTGACAACTCATTACACACTGAGCATCTGTCTATTCACCAAACTTGAAACATATCTCAAAATGTATTTCAAGGAATCAAGACAAAAGCCAACTGAATGAGACTTGATAACCAGAAATGCCTTCCTTTAGAGATAACAAAGTGTTTATTAGTACGCAACTTCTTGGCACGACCAAAGGCAGACTGCAGTGCACTTACTTTTTGCTTGCCTCACAGACATCTGTAATATTGGAGAAAAGATGGTGCCTCTCGGTTTTAGTCATTGTATCACTCAGTTCTTTAGAATTTTTAAACATTCGTATCAAGATCTCCAAGCTGAGTAAATATGAATGTTCAGAGGATATGACTTCAAAGATAGCCTGGTAAGAAGGAAAAAGAAATGTATTATTAATTCTTTTAATTAAAGAACTAAATATAGCTCTCATAATTTTGCTGTAAGAATAACAAGATACTCCACTTTTCAGGTATAGTATCTTGGAAAGTACAAAAAGAACATTAAAGAAACAACATCACAAAACTACTCTCTTTATATAATATACATTTACCCAAATCTTAAAAAATAATCACTATCTGTAAATATGAAAAAAATGAAATCATGTGGATGACTTGACATCACATCCTGAGGTCATGCCTTTGCCAAGGGGTAGAATCTATGGAAGGAAGCGAGGGCATGTCATAAAATCTCAGTGAGACATTAATTAACCTTTGGGGTCATCTCCTCCAGCCCTGCTTTCAAAGCATGCTGCTTTAGGGACAGTAAGGATTTATGGTCATCTCTTGAGATTCAGAGAAAATTTCTCACACCTTCCTTCCCTTCCCTCTTGTGTGTCACACTCTTCCTCTCCCTATGCTTAATCTGACTAATTTTCAGTCAATAACAGCAAATATTCTGGTATGACTGTGTCTACCCTCAAAAGGTTCTTATCAACCACAGGAATTCTTTTATATAAACTCATACAATTGAAAGTAATTCCATCTATTCAACAAGTCACATTCTCTACTCTCATCAATGTCTCAAGAAGGAGCAAAGGACTCTCTGCAGAGACTCTCAGTGGCAGGCACACAGTGGTTTTCCTGATAACTGTTAATGATGAAATACCAACCCACATATGTGGATAAGATTCCAATGCCCTGCGTAAGGAATTCATCTAGATCCTTAACAAAATCAAATTCAGATCCTCTAAAAAGGGATATAGGGAAAATGCAGGCCTAAGATTCACAGCCTTCCTGGAAAGCTCCCTGGTAATTCTGTCTTCATCACCCTGATCTCCAGGGCTCCACCCCTTCAAGTCCTTGCCCCAAAGAGCAGAGGGTACTGTGGCTGGGTGGGAGCAGGAAAGGCACAAGCAGGTGGACACCCAGCTGCTGATGGGTGCTCCATATTTTATAAATCAGGTTAGAAGTGCTAATCTCAGTGCTCACCTCCACTTTTAACTTCCGTAAGGTTTAGGGACTTGGGTCTTACTTAAATGTGCTAATCTAGCCTCAGTTGTATTTCATGAAATTAAGTGATGTAACTATCTGAAGAGTAAAGAGTAAGAATGTTAAGAGTCTCATTTAACCTGCGTATTGAATTTTTTCAATCAATACAATAACCCCCAAAAACTATACACAAAGCGAATTAAAGAAAAATTTCCCTTCTGGACCATAAATAATGGATTTCAGGTGTTGATGTATACGATGCCTTGGAATTACTTAAAATATTTGCAACAGCAAAGACATTTTTCACTTCTTCAATGCTGTACTATGCTAACTGATTAATGTGATTAAGTGATAATTGAGGGTTTTGAGAACAAAAATTAATATTGCTGAATTCAACATTTTAAATAATTTCTTTTGTTCCTGAAGGGCATAAACAAATAAGCCCTTTGTTATCTCCAAAGGAAGCCATTTAGGGTTATAATGTCTCATGCATTTGGCTTTTGTCTTGATTCCTTGAAAGAAATTTTGAGGTATGTTTCAAGTTGGGTGGACAGACAGATGTTCAGTGTGTAATGAATTGTCACAGCAGACAGCTGTCCAAAGTCACTTCATTCCTTCTTTTCCCCCACTCTGCTCACTCCTTACTTCTGATTACATCAAGGAGAGAGTGTGTAATCTAATCTAAATACTCAAACTGGGCAAAAAGACTTAATGAACTATTTATAATAGATCACAGGAAAAGGTAAATAATTGGCAGTTTATTATAATAAGTTTAATAAAATAATTGCTAAAATATCCTGCAATAATACCATCAACTATTTAAAAGCAAATTAGGTTAGACCTGTTATATATAGCAGGTAGGAATTGCTATATAGGAATAGAAAGTCTGAATAAATATTTTCAGAATATGATAGAAATAGGCAAGGTTATATAAGGTTTAAAAGAACAAAAATGTTCAAATGGGATTAATATCTTGGAGGAGCTTTTAAATTTATCCACAAGGAGAGGGAAACATTTTTATGTCACAATGTTAACAATGAAGGAAAAAGTCCCACCTACTGTCCAGCATTGGAAAAATAGATAAAAAATATTTAAAGGTGGTGTTCATAGACTAGAGTACTATATGATGATTGAAATGAATGATCTAGATTCATATGCATTAACATGAATAATCTCAAAAATAATGTTGAGTGTAAAAAACAGAAAACCAAAAAATATGCATAGAATCTCATACATATACATTTTAACACACATGCACAAATATGTGTGTGTATGTTATACATAATTTTAAAACACAGGCTGGAAGTATATGTACCAGTTCATAATTATAGTTGTCTCTGGGGAGGAAAGGAATAGGACAGGACTGAGGAAGAGAATGCAGGCCTTCTACACTATCAGTTTTATGTTCTTTTTAAAAAAGGAGAAAAATTACGATTGTTATACATTTGTTAATTCTCAGTGGATGGGTACACCAAAGTTCTATACTATTATTTTTTTTAAACTTGAAAAAATGGCACTATACTGCACCCTTGTATTTCACTTTATTCTATGCCAACCAAAAAAAAAAAAAAGGACATCCTTGGGTCCTTTGTGGAATCAATTTATATGTATGTATATGCATTGACATACACACACACACACACACACACAATAATATGCAGGAAGCAAGAGGAAAATGCTTTGAGAGCTTCACAATATTATTACAATAAGCAATTTTCTCAAATTGCATTGATTTAAACTTCAAGTTGTAAAACTGCATTATTAACCTGTTTTTTTTTTTTTTACTAAATAAACTTTTTATTTTGGTATAATTTTAAATTTATAGAAAACTTGCAAAAAGGGTTCAGAGACCCTTGTATGCTACATCCAGCTTTCCCTAACCTAGGGTATCTTACATAAATAGGCTACATTTGTCTACAGACTAACGTGACTATCAGTTTTTCCATAAACATCCTTTTTCAGTTCTAAGATCTAATGTTGGTTTCATTTTTTATCATATTTCTCTCAGTTTAAATACCTGAACTAGGTGCTTTGTTGTTTAAAATCAAACGATGTTGAGTGATGTTGAGATATTTAAAATTTTTTCTTTTCTGGGGGCTTATGCGTAGCTTTACATTAAAATGATCACTTACTGCTTTTGTTAAACAAATACATTTTCAAAGGGCAACACTAAACAAGTGCACACAGTAAGTGAAAACACAAAAAAGCAGACACCGACATGCACACTCCAGAGCTCTAAAGCAGCTGCTCGGTAGAAACATACCTCTTGTCTCTTTCTTTCCTCCTGGCTTACTGTCTGAGATAATCCCTTTCTTTTCACCTAGGAGAAAAAGCAAAGTAGAGTTGACTCATTTATTAATACTTTAAAAGTTTCAAGGGCATTATTCAAGGCATAACTCTATGCCCTTCAAAAATGAATTAGGAGAAACTATACAAAATGTTGAATTCATCAATATTAATTTATTAATTAATCAACAGTTATTTAATAAATATTTATAGTGTGCCAGACAATATACTAAGCATTTTATACTCTTTTTCCCATTGAATCCTCATACAAACTCTAGAAAGCTGATACTGTTCTTTTCCCCATTTCACAGATGGGGGTAACAATTGAGGCTTAGGATCCAAGAGCACATAGCTAATAGGTAACAAGGCCAGGATCTGCATCGACGCCAGTCCAACTCCAGGGCTCATGCTTTTAGTCAATATTATTGGTTAGGGACCCCCTACTTTATATGAAAGGCATCCCATTTCTAAGGGTTGGGCTAGCATCACTAAGACCCCTTCTAATACCAAGTCTGTACCAGTTTTCATGTGTTTTTTTGGTCCACATGTATCTTGGAATGTTCTTAGCTTTACCCACCATCCTGACCCTGGGTCAGCCTGTCAGCAAGAATTCATGGCTAAAAAGGATTCTTTACACATTTTAATAAGGGAGGAGACTGGCCAGAAGAATGTAACCCTTCAGAGCTGCTCCCTTTGGTTAACCCTGAGCAGGAATTTCACAGGATTTCCTGCATGACCCAAAGTCCGGCAGATGGATATACAGGTGCCATGCCCACAATCTCTGCAGGTGAGGTCACCAGCAAGAATTTCCATGCCAGTGGCATCTCCACCCAAATGGGGTTCAGACCCAAAAAATCTTAAGGAGAAGAGAATGAAAAACCTGGGCTTAGCGACCTACACAGATGACAGCTACTTTACTGAGGAATTAAGAGTACTTTGTCCTATCAAAAGAGAGGGCAAACCCACAACTAAAGTACTTGCTTTTTTGAGGGGAAAGAGAAGGTAGTTTTGACAAAGGTAAAGTATTAATATACAGAATTATAATCTTTCACTAATACTAACATGACATATAGTAAAATATTCCTTTAACAAGCCATCAGTAAGGAACTAACAAAATTATAGTGCTAGAAAAAGAGATTCCGGGAAGCCTTCTTGTATTCTGATTGAGAAAACTGAAGTGTCACACATTTGGGGAGCCTGAAAGTTTCTTCTAAGGTATGACAAAGCGGCTCCTCATGGCTGGCTGCCAGGCCGCTGCTCCTGGGCCTGTGCTTCTGTCTCTGTCCTTCCACGGCCTGTAACAGAACAGGCTCTAGAGGTTCTTCCTCCAAGGCCCAGAGGAGTCATTTTGTCCACCTGAGGCATCCTTCCACAGTCAACTCCAAATTAAGTAGCACCTTATAGCAGGTGTCTGGAGGTAGAAGGTCATGAACAGGCAAGAAGATTTCAGAGACTGATCAAGGTGGAGAGATGAAACCCAAGAGGGGAGAGAATGATCTGAAAAGGGGACCCCAAGAAGACTGAGAGAGAGCAAAGAAGAGACAATCAGGGGAGAATGAGAATGTAGGTGAATAACATCAAGTGGAAATAAGGAAGAAAGGCAGAGAGGAAGGGAGGGAGGAAGAAAGGAAAAGGAAGAAAAGAAGGGGAAAAAGAATGTGTACAAAGTTTTTAATAGGAAAGACCTCTGAAAATTCTCAAATTCAGACACAGGGACCTTATCTGTAAACCTAAGTAAAAATCACTTGATGTTCCAGGCTTTGTAGCATGAAAAACATATGTTTATACCTATAGTCTTAAAATAGACAAGCTTTTTGAAGTTTACCAATTTTTGCTATGAGAATCCAAAGTACTGTCAAATTTATCCCATTTCTTCAAGTGTTTCTATTGTCTCCATTCGTGGGAAAGAAAATATAATATACCAGTTTCTAAAACCTATGAGTCTTACTTGATACATAAAGTGAAAGAAATTAAAATTGTACAGGCTCCTTTTTCGTATTTATTTATTTATTGAGATAGAGTCTCACTCTGTCGCTCAGACTGGAGTGCAGTGGTGCTATCTCAGCTCACTGCAGCCTCCACCTTCTGGGTTCAAGCGATTCTCCTGCCTCAGCCTCCTGAGGATGAGGAGCTGAGATTATAGGCGTGCACCACAGTGCCTGGCTAATATTTGTATTTTTAGTGGAGAGGGGGTTTCACCATGTTGGTCAGGCTGGTCTGGAACTCCTGACCTCAGGCGATCCGCTCACCTTAGCCTCCCAAAGTGCTGGGATTACAGACGTGAGCCACCATGTCCGGCCTCATTTTTAAAATATACATTTCATACCAGCTTCAGCTGGGTACAAATGGGAACATGTAGACAGCCAAAGCAACACTCCTTTAAACACACAGACAGCCAAAGCAACCTCATTTGAACTTTCTTATTCCTCACTGGTTTAAATTTCTTATTTAAATATGTCATCAACAAGTAAAATTGCAAAAGTAGTTTTTAACAAAGCAGTAAGAACTGGATTTAATGTGAGGTTCTTGATTTTGTATAATCCAGCCAATTCACAAACTGTTCAAATCTGTAGATTCTGAATTTTAAACAGAATATATGAACATATGTCTATATCTTCAGCATTTTAAGTGGATAAAAATTCAAATAAAACAAGAAAATGAACAATACTACAGTTTTGACATGTTAAAAATATAAGCATACATCTGTGCCTTATTAAGATAGTGAATGCATAGAACTTGCTAATGTTATAATAGTTTTAAATTCATAATTACAAATTTACTGTATAATTGGTGCTGAAATTCTTGACCTGTGATCTTTATAACTGATATATTTTGCATGTCGAAATGAGATAGAAATTAGTAATTGGCTAAACCTAATAAAGAACACTACAAGATATTTCTTCTATGGATATGATGCTGTCTAGTTAGACCCAAAACATAGTTTATGAAATTTGTAAAAGGGTAAACTCCCAAAGTATAGATCCAAAAGGTAATTAGACACTCCACCTAAAATCATGCCGGTTTCCTTTTTGATACCTTGTGCTATGGTCTGAAGGTTTGTGTCCTCCCAAATTCATATATTGAAATCCTAACCCCCAAGGTGATGGTATTAGGAGGTGGAGCCTTTCAAGAAGTGATTAAGCTTTGCTCCATGAATGGGATTAACGCCCTTTAAAATAGGCCCCAGAGAAACCCCTAACCCTTCTACCACGTGAAGATGTAGCAAGAAGGCACTATGTGCCAGAAAGCAGCCCCTTGCCAAACACCAAATCTGCCTTGATTTTGGACTTTCCCGCCTCCAATACTGTGAGAAATAAATTTCTGTTGTTTATAAGCTATCCAATTTATGGTATTTTGTTATGGCAGCCCAAACTAAAGTACTTTGCAGGTCTGAGCTTCTCAGATAAATACTCTAAAAAGGAACAGACAAGCTTTAGACCGTGAGTCCATTATTACACTCATCACAGTTACACTAAGCATCTCCACCTTGCAGAGAACTGTGTAAAAGAACTATAAACTTTGTGTAATATTTCTTGGTCTTTGACTCTACTAACTGGAATAGGTTATGAGCCAAGTTCTCTAAGCCCCAAATAGATCCCTCAAATTGCCATTTACACAGAACTTATCTATGGATACAGCCAGTCCTACATCTGTGGAGAGAACCAAGATTAGCACCAGTCTCTTGGCTGATCAGATAATCATTTTCTGTGAAGTAAACAGGGATATTTATGTTCTGATGCCCTCTTTGTTCTCAGACCCTCCATGACTCGATAGTGTTTCTAGATGAATGTGCATTCCTTCTATTTTTGCCCACCACTAGGGAAAACAGATGGGAAGAACCCAAAAGCCTCACAAACCAAAAAGACTCAAAAATGTAGCCAGTTAAAAATTACATTAGATTTACAATCCAAGATCACTCTGTCTCCATCAAGCACTAATTTATACTGAACACCCATCTGAGCTAAAACTCAATGGAGTTTACCCATTTGCTGAAAGTAAGCTTGCTTTTCATGTCTATTGGTGATTCTCTACTTACAGGCTTCTTTTCTCAAGAGCTCAAATGGGAAGGGATTTCAAAGTAAAATTATACCACAGGACACAATCACTCTCAGGTCCTTTCTACAGACTTAATGTAACCTGAGTCATCCCTGAATTACAAGTGAGCTAGAGTTCTTTCACTGTAAATAACATGGGAACAGCAGCAGTTTGAGAGTATGCTTGAAATCCTTAAAATGAAAAATCTGCCAGAGTCCAGAAAGAGTGTCCTCTGTAACCAGACCCAATAGGCTCTCTTTAACCCCACTACATCCACAAGGAAAGGTTCTAAGACATCACTTTTCCTAGCTAGGAGCTGCCACAGAACACAAATTTCAAAGGGCCAGAGATCTGCATAACCAAACACTAGACATGAGGTCAAGATGGGTCATCCTTCTGGGGAGTGGTGGGTAAACAGAGAGAGAGAACGCTTTTTTTAAGGAAAGAAAAAGTAGAAGGATAATAGCACATATCATAAAATCATATGCTTAATTTAAAAATGCATCAGGTAATATGCCAGTGACATCCAAATTAATTTGTTCAAAAAGCTGATCTCTCTGATGTCCTATTGTTAAGCTTAATTCTATAATCCTCAAAAAAGTGTTTGAATCTCAAGAAATAGCAAGTACTCAGCCTCAAGCAGGCAACATCGAGTTTGCTAAAATAATGGAAAACTCAGATAAAGCAGACCAGGACACTTGCTCCTCTATGCCCTGCATCACCATCTACAGACAGAGCCAGGATTCCTGAATGAATCCAAATCATTTCAATACAGACATGAGGCTGAGAATACAAACTACAGATAAGTAATTAAATGCACAAGAATGAACTGCTGTGCTTTGTACATTTAGGAAATAAACGTGCATTACTTCATTTGCAGCCAGCACTCACCAGCTTGCTACCCATGTCTTGTCAATTCCTGATTCAGAGTTCTGGTTGGTTCTCAATTTATTTCTCAAACTACCATTATATCAAATGTTTACCATGAACCAGGTACTGTTCCTTCCATGCATCTAAACCCTGTAACAATTCTGTGAGGAAGGCATTACTATCCCTAGTTTACAAATAAAGAACGGAGACACAGAAAAGTTAAGTCATTCACCCTAATAATTGGAAAGCTGAGATTCAAACTTGGGCCGGCCTGTCCACCCCCAAAGCCTGAGCTCTTAATCACTGTAGCACACTGCCTTCTAAAACTTCAGAGTTTTTAAGAGCTGTGCAAGCTACTCTTCCCCTAAATTAAGTTGCTCCCCCTGAATGCCCCAGAAACAACATCTCTCATTGGCTTCCTGGCTTCTGCTGCAGTGAAAGCTAAGCTGTCAGCAGGGCTCCCTGGTCATTTAACTTGTTGATCAATCCTGACATTTCTACCACCAAACAAATTCCTCTTTTCCTTGTGGCTCTCTCTAACCTGCATTTCCCGCTGTGGGCTACTGAGCCTGGACTAAAATTTATGTATTCTCTATCCCCCAAATGAGCAAGAGATGCAGTTCTCATGTATCTATCAGCTAAATTAAGAAGAGAAAATGAGGTTAACAAATACATGAAAAGCTAATGACACAGAAGTAACAAGGATGAAAGGGAATAAATTCAGGGTAAAGGGCAATTCTATAATTTAACCGAAGACTAACAATTTTTAAACGTGCACTATTTAATAAAATACTGGGGGACAGACCAGACTTATAGCAGTGGTTAACAGCTGAGGGGTTGGGAATGGTGGTAAAGTTAAGCAGCTTTCAGTCTTAACTGTTACATTTAATATTTTAATAAGGAGAATGTATTTCTTTTACTTCAGTAGTTCAAAAATAATTATTTTAAAAAACTTAATCAGCCTTAAATTTTGAATTTTAAATTGAAAAATTAGAAACACACACATGATTAACAACAAGAAATTGGTTAAAAGAGCTAAACATCCACTTATTTGAGGAGCTAGTATGTGGGCTTTAAAAAGGTTGTAGAAGAATATTTAATGACATAGAAGGTCATTCATAACACTGTTAAAAAAAGGTGACAAAACAGCAGGCTTAATAACATGAAAAGATATTTACGACACTGTTAAGGGAAAAAAGTGACAAAACTATTACTACATTATTGATTTTTGCGTAAAAGACAATCCTTCTATATATTTTTAAATCTGAAAAGTTATAGACAAAAATGTTAATAGTGATTGAATAGAAAGAGATAGTTCAATTTTTTTATCTATTGGTACTTTCTGATTTTTCTGTAATAAACATGTCTTGGCTTTGCAATTAAAGCAACACTTCGAATAACAAAAACTAAAATACTACTTCAACATCCTCTCCCAAAAAAGAAACAAAACGAGTAGGGCAGACAAGTAGAACTGTTTAAAGGTGCCAATAATACCTCTATTTCTTTGTTGCTGCCCCAAAGAGAAACTAGAGAAATGAGAGATGACCACCTGTAGATAAAAGAAATGAGAAGCTAAGGTAAAGGGAGGCAATAAGAAAGAAAGATTTTAATCAAGTCCAAACTGAGCAATAGCTTATGAGGCAGTGCTGAAAATGAGTGATGACAGGCCAATCTGCAAGCATGAGAGATAAAGGAGGATAAAGGAGTCTGCGTAACTGAGAATGATGCCATTTACACATAGTGAAGGTATGAGTCAAGGGGTTAAGGAAGGTACAACAGGTCTGATGTTCCTCTCTTGCGGAAGAAAAGAACACCTATTTCTAAAGGTGATGCCAATATATTAGTTGCTATTTTATTTTTGCTTGCTATTTTTGTAAAATGACCAGTGGATAGGAATGAGAAACTCCAAAACAATAAGCTACTTAGAACAACAGCGACTCTGAATTTCTGAGATTTTGCAATAAAAATCTAACCTGAGCAAAATCTGTTTCTGAAAAATGGGTAATAGAGTAAACTGATGCTTTCCATTAGATGTACAAAGCAGGCAGTGGTTTCTTTGGACAGGAATTACCTTATTGTACGGAGATCTGAGAAACAGACACAGAAGTCCTATCTTTCTTCTTCCCTTTGCCTACCTATCAAGCTTTATTGGCTGGGCGCAGTGACTCACGCCTGTAATCCCAGCACTTTGGGAGGCCAAGGCAAGTGGATCACTTGAGGCCAGGAGTTCGAGACCAGCCTGGCCAACATGGTGAAATCCTGTCTTCCTATCTCTACCTTAAAAGAAAAAAAAAAAAAGAAAAAGTTTTATTCAAGCAATTTACACCTTCATTACTTTTATTTTCTCCTCTTCTGCCCAAATAGCCCATCTAGTTTAAGTTACATCCTATAGACAAAACTTTCCTCATCTTCACTTCACTGCTTTCTGTGATTTCAACTGTGTCATTCACTTTGGCATTCTGTCCTACATCCTTTCAAAATATCATTCAGACATTTCATTTCTATTGTCTTCTGCTCTAGGTTCTAAGCTCCTGGAGGGTAGGCTGGGTTTTAGCCTTGTTTTGTTTGCCTCATTCACTACAGTGCAGTGGAAAACAAATGAATTTTGGAGTCAGATATTACCACTGTTCAAATTATAAGTTATAAACTGGCATTGAATGCAAAATAAAGTCTTATCATGAAGTGATCGTTATCTATTTAAATGTAACAGAACAGAAAAAAATTAAAAATACTATAGTACACTGCAAGCAGAAGTATAAAGTAACTCCTGCCTTGTAAAATTTCTTTGAGATATATACACACATACATATGTGCAAACATACACATTCAGACACACATACTGGTTTATAAGGTAAAACATATTTCTTATCATGTTAAGCTGCTGATAAAGACCATGGTTACAATGTCCACTCCATGATGTATAAATTTACACTAGACAAAAGTCAGTCAGTCATGTCGTTTAACACTTCCATGGACCTCTACAAGAAAAACCATTCTACTCACAGCCTCTGCAAAAGCAGCAGCCCCAAGGGACCACATTTTGTGCCATAGTACATCATGGAGGCCAAAGCTGACTGGAGCAGAGTTAGTTAAGCACCTAGCTAAATGACAATACATGTTCTAGTGACCTATTAAGCGGGGGCAAAGTAGCTGAGCCAATATAATTCTCTTTCTCAAGGAACTAAACTGGGCAACTAAACTGTGTAACTCACTTTGGCATTCTGGCCTACATCCTTTCAAAAATAGGATGGAAGGCCAGGCACGGTGGCTCTCACCTATAATCCCGGCATTTTGGGAGGCCGAGGCGGGCGGAAAACGAGGTCAGGAGATAGAGACCATCCTGGCTAACACGGTGAAACCCCGTCTCTACTAAAAATACAAAAAAAAAATCAGCCGGGCAAGGTGGCAGCCGCCTGTAGTCCCAGCTACTCAGGAGGCTGAGGCAGGAGAACTGCGTGAACCCAGGAGGCGGAGCTGGCAGTGAGCTGAGATTGTGCCACTGCACTCCAGCCTGGGCGACAGAGCAAGACTCCATCTCAAAAAAAAAATAGGATGGAAGCTGAAAGAGTGACTTGAGGGAAGGACAGGGCTGTTAACACAGTCTCAAGTGCTCAAGTGTAAGTTATGAGAACTCAGAGGCTGGGCATGGTGGCTCATGCCTGTAATCCCAGCATTTTGGGAAGCCGAGGCGAGCAGATAACCTGAGCTTAGCAGTTCGAGACCAGCCTGACCAACATAACAAAACCCTGTCTCTATTAAAAATACAAAAATTAGCCGGGCGTGGTGGCGTGTGCCTGTAATCCCACCTCCTCAGGAGGCTGAGGCAGAAGAATCGCTTATGGGAGGCGGAGGTTGCAGTGAACTGAGATCGTGCCACTGCACTCCAGCCTGGGCAACAGAGTTAGACTATCTCAAAAAAAAAAAAAAAAGCACTCAGAAACCCTGAGTATTCAGGAGCTTTCAGGAAAAAGACAAGCATAGTAAAAAGGGAAAATAAGCCAATTTATGAGAAGAAAAAAAAGCCCAAGTCAGAGTTGCAGTCACATTATTGGCTGAGCACCTGGGAGAAACATAGTTCCTGCTCTTCCAGAGCCCTAGGTACATGTATCCATCTTTTGAGGTCACTGCAGAGGCTGTTCCAAGTAATCTCAAGACCTTAACTAGCAGCCGCATTTAACATCCTGGCCTCTCAGCTGACTTGTTACAAAGTAAAGAATTTGTACTTACCCTCGTGGCATTGTCCCGGGACTACATAAACTGTATCTGAAATTACCTAACACAATCCTGGTACACAATAAGTCTCCTGCAAATATGTGGTCAGTAATTTAACTGCATGTAAACAAATCAATACTGTGATGATCCCAGAGCTAACAGCTATCCTGCAACTCAGTCTGCTCATTCAGAACTTTGGACCCATGTGGATATAAGGGCTCCCTGTTGCCCAGGTGGGCACACAACAATCAGACTCCTTTGCACTCCACTACCAGAAGCAGGGTTTCTAACCAGGCTAAGTGGAAATTGCTCCATTTTTGTATTATTATAGTTGGATAGGCTTATTTCCTACAAAGAGGGAAATAATCTGCAATTTTATTTTACTGTCAATAATACTTCCTGCTACAGAAGTTGTCCACTGACTGTATAGTTCTTATCTCCTCAAAATAATAGAAATATAGATAATAAACATCCTAATATTAAGATATTAGAGTACAGGCTAATAATCTAGAGAATTAACAGGCTATATGTGCTCCAGATAAATCCACAAAATTTGAGTAACAAATTTTTAAGGATTCCTTATTTAAAGATTCAATAGTAATTTTAAAGGTGACAACACTCTCCAATCATCATGGAGACCAACCACTGTGTGGATGTGGCCCTGAGAAATAGCCCTATCTTTGGACTGAGGAAGGAGACCCCACAAGAGGATACATTAAGCTCAACAGGGCAAATACAAGAATCCCATAGATGAATCTGCAATCCAAAGTCAGTATGAAAAAGCCTTTCTATGCAGTTATTCAGAACTCTTCAACATCCCTGAGCCTTCTCTTCCTACAGACTGCTATTATTCTTGAATGTATCCCTTCCAACTCCCCAAAAGAAATAGCTAGTTGAGAATAAGTCCAAAATTTAATTCGATTTCATAGTAAGCAATAACTTGGAAGTCATCCGAGTATATGATATATTTAAAAGTACAAGATTGATAAAACCACCACATGAGTGCAGGTAAGAGAAGAGGCCCAAGGATGAGCCCAGGGGCCCTCCAAAATTTAGAGAACAGAGGAATGAGGAAAAACCCACAAAGGAGATCAAGATGTTCCAGCTGCACTGGCCTTATCCCAACTCCTCTTACCCACCATCACCCCAAATGTCTGTGCACATGACATTTTCTCTACCTGAGACTCTTCTACCCTGCCACTCCCCAACTGTGCCCCACCAGCTATCGTCCTGGACCCTCCAGATGACAGCTCACATTACCTCCTCTGACACCTGCTCTCCACTGACCGCACCTTGCCCAGACAGGTGCTCTTTTCTAGAAGATCTTGCAGCAGCACCAGTAAGTCATTCACAGCTTTACCACAATAGTAATTATGCATTTATCTATGGGATGATTTGATATCTGACATCTGTCTCGCCATTCAGGTTGTTTACAAGGACATGAATGCAAGGTGGAGTCTGTTCTTGCTCTATCTCCAGGGCCTGCCATAGACAGAACTTCATGTGGGGCAGGCCCTTGATGAAGACAATGAATTCATCAATCTCTCTCATCGATTTTCTACTCAATGAAGTAAGAAGACCCTCTCTGTCTGGACCCTGTTGTAGGTTTGTAGTTGAAACATCTGCCTTTGTAGTTATGCCCATAACAATTAACTAACCGTGTTTTCATCTCCTCCTGCTTTCTTGGAGCACCTGTCATTTCTGATCTCTGCCTACCCTCGGGCAACTGGTGCACACACCCCCATATCCCAACACTTCACTGTTCTCTCAGAAGAATCAATTACATAAATATTGGCAGATCTACCACTCAGTTGCCCTTTAATTAGTGAGCTCCAACCAGAGTAGTTTTTTCCTCAATCTCTGTCTATATTTTTAGGAGTTACATAAAGTTCCAACGCTGCAACAATGCAGATACAGAAAAACTTTTTAAAGTGATATTAACAACATGGAAACTGTACTCAATACATAACAAGCTACACTAAGGTGCTCCTAGTATTTGGAAATAAAGTCAAGAAAAAAATACTCTCCAACTAAAACTGAAAAAACAAAAATTATTAAAAAAATTTACATGTATACATGTGTGCATTTTTCTACAGAGAAAGCCTATGGCTCATAATTTTTATTAGATTCTTAAAGCATGTATGACACTCCCCCAGTAAAGATGGCTAAATGCATATCCATCCTATGTATTAATGCAGTTATAACACTGTAGATCATGTGTAGATATGAAATGACTTATAAGACACATAGTGCAGAAAAGAAACAAGCTGTATATTATAAATAGTCTGTATATTTACATAAATATGGGTAATCTATATTGTTTCCTTAAATGTATATATGTGGATTTTCAGAAGAGTATTGCCAAATTGAGAGCAGCATTATCTATGGAGAAGGGGATAGAGACTGGGATTGCACAAATGACCAAAAGAGCCTTTAGTCTAATCTGAAATGTCCCAATTCTTCTTCTTCTCTTCTTCTTTTTTTTTTTTTTTAAGAGATAGGGGTCTCACTATGTTGCCCAGGCTGGTCTCAAACTCCTGGGCTCAAGAGATCCTCCTGCCTCAGCCTTCCAAAGTTCTGAGATTACAGGCAGGACCCACTGTACCTGGTCCAAAATGTCTGAATTATTCTCTACATGAAGGACATATTATATATTGCTTACATAAGTCAAGTTAATTTTCAGAAATGTACCATAATCTAATTATACATAAAAAGCAAGACCACATACAGAGCCCAGTCCCTGGCCCAAGCTAAGTAGTCCCCCACCTTTATCTCTCTTAGCTAGAGTAGTAATTCTAATTGGGGTATGTCTTAGTCCGTTTTGGGGTGCTTACAACAGAATACCTGAAATTGGGTAATTTATAAAGCAAAGAAATTTATCTCCTACAGTTATAGAGGCTAAGAAGTTCCAGGCTGAGGGGCTACATTTGGTGAGAGCCTTCTTGCCGGTGGGGACACTCTGAAGAGCCCCGAAGTGGTGCAGGGTATCATATGGCAAGGAGGCTAAGCATGCTAACGAGCTAGCTCAGGTCTCTCTTCCTCTTCCTATAAAGCCACCTGCTCCCCTCCCATGATAATTCATTAATCCATTAGCCCAGTAATCTGCGGCTGTTAATCTATTCACGCAGGCAGAGCCCTCATGATCTAATTACTTCTTAAAGGCTCCACCTCTCAATACTGCTACATCAGGAATTAAATTTCCATATGAGTTTTGGAGGGGAAAAATATCCAAACCATGGATCTCAGGTCTAGGCACATGGGCCTCTATTTTTGTTTATAAAGACACAAGGATTCCAGAAGACCCACAAGCCAACTTGAAAATGTGGACTAGTATGTGCTTGCAGTTCTGTTTAAACCATGATGTGAGCTAAATGTGAGCCAGTTATAAAAAGTGAAAATAATTTTCCATATCTTATACACACACAAAAAAAGATATGGTAAAAGGTTTTAGTCACCATCTAAAGTAAAAAAATAATCTTATGAGACTGCTGCGTTGCCAAACTGTAAATGAAAAATTATAAAACTACAGAAATTACTATTTTAAGCAACAAGTCACAAACAACTGAAAATTCAGACAAATGTGAAAATTTAGGGAAAAGAATAAGTTTAAATGCATTAAGCATTTCTGCAAACAGAATGACATTCAGGTATATTACATTTGTTGAGCTCTGATTTTTACTAGAAAATAGTATGTCTTTCACAATAAGCACAGAGTAAATTCTAAAATAATAAGTCCCATCACCTCAAACTACTAAGATGCCAAAGTGTCTGCTGCATTTTCAATGGAATGAAATGATATTTATAATAAAATTCCTGCTTTTCAAATCTTCCTTTCTCATCCTGCAATTCCAGAAAGTCTCCCACAGGTACACTATGTGTGCTTTAAGAGCTGAGCCCAGAACCAGAGACTGAGGTCTGAATTCTAGATCTCCCATTGCACTGTTAGTCACACTTAGCACAGAGCTGAAAAATACTTTAATTAAAATACTTTAGTTAAAATATTTTAATTAAAATTAAAATACTTTACTTAAAATACTTTAATTAAAATTAAAATACTTTAGTTAAAATATTTTAATTAAAATTAAAATACTTTAAGAAATCAAACCATTTCTGACTACAGAGTTCAAAATATTTGAGCAAACTGAAGAAACATTCCAATGACTTAAGATTACTGATAAAGCCACATGTCAGCAAGTACAAAAGAAGAGTGCAGTAGAGGATGACTCTATTAGGTGCTGAACAGAGAACACCCTTTTCAAAGGTATCTGGCATTTCAAGGTGATGGAAATTACACAAACGCACCCCATGGCAAATAAATCAGGTCAGGGCACAGCTGGCAAATATGGTTTTGGTTCCATCACCGAACTTAACATAACAAACACTGGTGTTGCAACAGTCATTTCTTCATACATGCATAGTACATGATCTTGGAGAGGTGGAGGGGGTACTTACAGTGAAAAGCAAAAACTCTAGTCAAAATCTATCTAAAAGAAAAGACAATAAATACTTCCGGGGTCCTACTAATGAATGAACCCTTTGGAAAACCTGAAGTTCAGCTGACTACACACCTGGCATTAACTGTAACAAGTACACAGTGTTCCATCCCTGACTAATACAATCAATATTTTCCTTCAAACCCACATGCTTTTCCCAGAGATCCAAGAACTGCTGGCTTAATGTTTGTGCTGCTGTTTTGGGTGAGGCACCGGTGATTTACCTGCGTGCAGCAGGGTTTTTGTCTCTGAGTAGAGTTCCAGATAATCTCCAGGGGTCAAAACTTACTTTTCAAAGTCATTGAGGTTTCAAAACCTCAAATCCCTTCCACATTTGACCAACCCAAACTGGGAACTACGACCATTAACATTATTTCAGGACAAGGGGGATATTACCACTGACCCCACAGAAATACAAACAACCATCAGAAAACATTATGAATACCTCTAGGCACATAAAGTAGAAAATCGAGAAGAAATGGATAAATTCGTGAACACATATACCCTCCCAAGACTGAACTAGGGAGAAATCAAATCCCTGAAGAGACCAATCACGATTTCTGAAATTGAGGCAGTAATAAATAGCCTACCAGCCAAGAAAAGCCCAGGACCAAGCAGATTCATAGCTAAATTCTACCAGATGTAAAAAGAACTGGTACCATTCCTACTGAAACTATTCCAAAAAAAATTGGAGAAGAGGAACTCCTCTCTCATTCTATGAGGCCAGCATCATCCTGATACTAAAACCTGGCAGAGATACAACAACAAAAGAAAAAAACTTCAAGCCAATATCCTTAATGAACATCCATGCAAAAATCCTCAACAAAATATGGCAAATCAAATCCAGCAGCACATCAAAAAGCTTATCCACCATGATCAACTAGGCTTTATCCATGGGATGCAAGGTTGGTTCAACATGCACAAATCAATAAATATTATTCATCATATAAACAGAACTAAAGACAAAAACCATGATTATCTCAATAGATGCAGAAAAGGCTTTTGATAAAATTCAACATTGATTCATGTTAAAAAAAAAAACCTCAATAAACTAGGTATTGAAGGAAAATACCTCAAAATAATAAGAGCCATATATTACAAACCCATCACCAACATCATACTAAATGGGCAAAAGCTGAAAGCACTCCCCTTGAAAACCAGCACAAGATAAGGATGCCGTCTCTCACCACTCCTATTCAATATAGTTGATATGGTTTGTCTGTTTCCCTGCCCAAATCTCATATTGAATTCCCACATGTTGTTGGGGGGACCAGGTGGGAGTTAAGTGATCATGGGGGCCAGTCTTTCCTGTGCTGTTCTCATGATAGTGAGTAAGTCTCACGAGATCTGATGGTTTTAAAAACGGAAGTTTCTCTGCACAAGCTCTCTCTTTGCCTGCTGCCATCCACATAAGGCGTGACTTGCTCCTCCTGGCCTTCCACCATTGTGGAAGCCTCCCCAGAGTCCTCCCCAGACACAGGGGACTGTAAGCCCATTGAACCCTTTTTCCTGTATAAATTACCCAGTCTCAGGGATGTCTTTATCAGCAGCATGAAAACGGACTAATACAATAGTACTGGAAGTCCTGGCCAGTGCAATCTGGCAAGAGAAAGAAAGGAAGAAAGAAAGAAAGGGTATTCAAATAGTAAGAAAGAAAGTCAAACTATCCCTGTCTGCAGATGACATGATCCTATATATGGAAAACCCCATAGTCTCAGCCGGAAAGCTTCTTAAGCTGATAAAAAAAACTTCAGCAAAGTCTCAGGATACGAAATCGATGTGCAAAGATCACTAGCATTTCTATACACCAACAACAGTCAAGCCAAGAGCCAGATCAGGAACAAACTGCCATTCACAATTGCCACAAAAAAATAAGATACCTAGGAATATAGCTAATTAGGGAGGTGAAAGATCTCTACAAGTACAAAACACTGCTCAAAGAAATCAGGGATGACATAAACAAATGGACAAATATTCCATGCTTATGGACAGGAAAAATGAATATCATTAAAATGGCCATACTGCCCAAAGCAATTTATAGATTCAATCCTATTCCTACTAAACTAGCATTGAGATTCTTCACAAACTGGAAAAAAACTATTCTAAAATCCATATGGAACCAAAAAATAGCCAAGAAAATCCTAAGCAAAAGAATAAAGCCGGAGGCATCACACTACCTGACTTCAAACTACACTACAGGGCTACAGTAACCAAACAGCATGATACTGGTACAAAAACAGACACACAAACCAATGGAACAGAAAAAAGAGCCCAGAAATAAGGCTGCACACCTACAACTATCTGATCTTCTACAAACCTGCCAGATCAGATAGTTGTAGGTGTGCAGCCTTATTTCTTTAGTCCTAATATAGAAGTCTGTGGCTCATTATTCTATTGAGGCTCAGTTAAACAAATGACTATCATTTATTATTCTACTGAGGCCCAACTAAATAAATGCCTCTTCTAATTCTCCTTTATTCCTAAATGACAACACTACAGTTAAACCTGTCCCAACACCATAAATGGGGAACCACCTGTCATCTGTATAGCTGAACACTGCCTTACCCAGCATGGTCCAATGAAACCAAAGGAAACATAAACACGCCCAGACAAATTACAGCACAGACTCAAGGCTTAAAGATCTTACGTAACAACCATAAATTACTGCAAATTGCTGCACTTCAAAAGTATTCAGCATACTGAATGCTTCTTATAGTCAACTGATAAGGATAGTTTCACCATCCCAGGAGGCAGGCATTTGCAATAAAAAGATTTTTTAGAAAATAAAACAACACCGGCTAATGCACATGTGCACTCACTCCCTACCCTCCTTAGCAGGAAGTGAAGGTATATGCCGAACTGAGACCTAACCCACTGCCAGAAAACCCCTTGTCTTTAAGAAGAGTTTTGCATTAAAATGTTATACTCAAAATTAGACGGGCTACCTTACTATTTTGATTATTAAAATTAAGCATGGAAGGATGATTTTATATACGTAGATGATGCTAGGTTTAATATATACATTATACTAGGTATTTATATATATAGACCTCCAACTCTATATATACACACACATATATATTTATATATTACATATTAAAGCTGAATATATATATTAAAGTTGAAAGTCTTCTGAGACCTGCCCTAAACGCTGCAGCTTCACTACCAGGAGGGGTCAGATAGAGAAATAGAGGTGCCGATCACTTTTGAGAAACATCCTGACATTGTTAATGATGCACGAAGCCTCCGCTCGTTAGGGTCCTAAATACAACTTGAAAATTTAGTAGCAGATGAGCTTCTAAAAAGGTAATGGCTGCTTTCTGGTGTTAAAATATCTACTTTCCTAAAAGCCAGAACTGGTTATATCTTTTTGGTGGACAGAAAACCCTCATGGGAAGGACAGAAGAGAACGTCAGGGATAGTGGTTATCTCTGGGGAGGTAGGAAGGAGAAAAGAACTGGAAAGGAAGGAGGGGTTCGCTGTAATAGTCTAAAAAAATAGAAAATGAAGCAAATATGTTAAAATATTAACATTTGTTCAATCTGAGTGATAGGTACACAGAAATTGATTAACTTTATTTATTTTTTAATTTTTCTATGGGTTTAAAGCACTTTATAACAAAAAAAATTAAAGTAAAATGTAAGTGAAAAGAAGACACAAAAGGCACAAAGAAATGCAGGCTGGTGCCTAAGTAATGCTAAGTGGCCAAGTCCAATCATGCTGCTTTCATTAAATTTAATTGCCAAGCAACACAATAAACACACACAAGCCTCCCGGGAACACTCAACTCCAAGATAACATACACTAAAATCAGAAATCACTTTATAGTTTTACATTTTATTACAAGATAGTTCTATGATATCAATATCATTTACAAAAGACACAACATTCATTTTTTGCCAAATAAAATGCAAGTCCATAAACAAAGTTGAACTGAAGGATATGCACTATTATTTAATTGTATATACATTTGTTCATGTATATGAAAGCCAAACTCCAGGAGGCATAAATATGGCAGCCTGTTTCTTGGGCTAAACTGAGATCAGGGTGTAACTGACATAAAAATCCACATTTCTTTTTAGCATTCTTTCAGAGACCAACAGCACGATTTAGGCCTGTGCTAACAAACCCAGCTGCTGCCACAGAGAGAAAACAAAAAATTCACAGCCTTCTTTCTTCTCCTGGATCCTCTACCAAATGGTCCATACCAACAACTGAATGAACTGAATGACAGCCATTTAGAGCCAACATGGCCTCAATGGACCTTGTCATCAGTTTTTCCACATATCTGTTTTGGGATACACATATCATGAGATCATTAGATTAGGGTATAAGGCTGCTAATAAACCAATTCTGTGGCTAGCTTTTACCACCTAACCACATGCAAAAATTTTAAAAATATCACAGAAGTTACAAACTGTTAGCATAGAGGGCAAATCTGAATACTTTCTTGGACACACAACATTTCTTTAAAATTTGAGTTGAGAAAATACTCATAAAAGTCTGGATTTGTACATTCTCTTTTCTAATTATCAGAACATCTGGTCACACTGAGCCCCTGCACTCACCTGGTTTGAGCTAAGTAGTAGCTGCTCAATTTATATAAGGCCTGTTCACCACAGCTCCCACCACTCCCTATCACCTACATATACCAGCATCACATATTCATTCTACTTCCCCTGACACTGTGAATATTTTAATTTTTGGCATAATCATAAGGGTGCTATACCTCAGAGGCCCTGGAAATGAACAGATTCTCCTGAGAACAAAATTAGGAGGTGGGAAGAAGACAGGGAGAAAGCGCTTGGTGTATTGAATTTTGAATTCCAATACAGGTTAGAAGAGGGAAGGTAGAGCTTGAAGCAGAAGTTGTCTCCCACCGTTTACATACACATATTCCCACGGCCCTGGCTATACAGCACCAACATTAACAACTCCTTTTCTTACACCAGTGGGTTCCCTAAATACACAAGATTCCTGATTCTAAACATCTCTGTCACCTCTGCTCTGATATTGCCTAAGGACTCATGGAGGTGTACTGGCTTGTTTTTGATGCAAAGCTCCCCTGAACCAAGCCAGCCATGGGAATTCCTTTCTACTTGCTAATTCATCAGATATTCGCAAATGCTGTGCCCAAACTCTTATCAAGTAAACTAAGCATCAAACTGTGACATTGTAAGCCAGGAGGAAAAAAATATACAGTTAAAAAACAAAAGGTGTCTGATGCAGAGAGGAGAAATTACTCATCAACACAAAATTAAGTGTCAGAGACAGGCATACAAAAAAGGCACAGAGATGGAACAGAATATCATTCATTAATCAGCTTTAAGAATATATAAACATTTCTATATCAAATTAAATTTCCAAGGAAGGGCTAGATGCGGTGGCTCATGCCTGTAATCCCAGCACTTTGGGAGGCTGAGGCAGGCGGATCACTAGAGGGCAGGAATTCAAGACCAGCCTGGCCAATACGGTGAAATCTCATCTCTACTAAAAATACAAAAATTAGCTGGGTATGGTGGCACACGCCTACAGTCCTAGCTACTCAGGAGGCTGAGGCAGGAGAATCACATGAACCTGGGAGACTGCAGTGAGCCGAGATCACGCCACTGAACTCCAGCCTGGGCGACAGAGCAAGACCTCATCTCAAAAAAAAAAAAAAAAATTTCCAAGGAAGAATTGTAACTAGCTTTCTATTGTGCAGAGATACATATACAGGTACATACATACATGTACATATACACGCATACATACATAAACACACACGCATATATATGTAAATAGCCATAATTATGATAAAGTGCAGGCTATATTTAACAAAAAGAGAGATCTCGCAGAAAGAGTTTCCAGAGGTCACAGTACATCAATCTCATAGCACTTTATTTTATCAAACCTAATTTTCCTGATCAGAAGTGTCAAAGTTCATGTTCTCATTAGTGCGGGCAGAGTTCCGAGAAACATTTCACAATCTAAAAAGAGTCTTTCTCCTTAGTTACAGGATCACTGGCAGAAAAGAACAAAAGCCAAATCCACACATAATTTCCAAAACTTGTTTTTTTCCTACCACAGATAGAAAAGAAGATAAACACTCACCGCAGAGAGTTGGCTCCATGTGGATCTCAATGGCTTATGGTGAATCACAATTTTTTCATCTGACTTCTGTTCTTTGGGCTCTGACTCTTCATCAGAATCAATGTCAAGGGCCTTTTCCTTGTAGTTTTGATACAGGACAGCATTTTCTGCAAGAAAACAAGGCCTATGTGTCACTAATTGTTCTCAATCATTATGTTACTTGTTCTAAATAAACATCATATGTACCCAATGTTTGGCCTCCAATTTTATAAACAGAGAGACAAACAGATTTAGTCCCTGAAGAATAATTACAGAAAAGTGATTTTCTCATTCACATAGCTCTATCTCAAACTCAACTGCAGGGGAAGGGGACCAGCCCATACAGAGAATGCCAACAGAAGCAGTTTCCATGTCTCTGTCCACTACTCATGAAGGACAGTCAGGCCTGTTAAATCACTGTAATTTAGGTTAAATTACATCCTATCTTTTATTTAAGGTCCATCACCATTCATTTATCTATTTAATAAACATTTATTGTGTATCTATGACGTGCCAAGGGCTGAGAGTAAAATGGAAAACAAAAGAAAGACACCTCTGATGCCTCATGAGCTCTCATGCCCTCATCCACCTCTCATGAGCTAACAGTTTAATTAAAAAAACTGTCAAATTCACTCATGCATTTATTCATTCAACTGTTACTTAGAAAACACCTACTAGGAACCGGCAACAGCTTAGCACGTGAAATACAATAATAGACACTAAAAATCTCAATATTCAGGAGCTGATACTAAAGCATGAGAGAACTGCAATAAATAAGCAAATAACTTTGATAGTATTTTGATGCTGATAAGTGTCATGAAGAAACATGAAACAGGGAAGGGGGGTAGAAAGCGCTGGGAGGAGGGCATGTAGATGTTAAGTAGGGTAGTTTAGGAAGGCCTCACTGGAGTGACAATTAAGTAAAGACATAGAACAGGTGAGAAAGTGAGCCACCTGTATCAAAACTACAAAGAAAAGGCCCTTGATGTTGACTCTGATGAAGAACTAGTGCCCAAACAGCATCTCATCAGGGACACAGCAAGTGCAAAGCCCTGGGGCATGAGTCTACTTGGTATGTCTGTATGTACCAAGAGCAGCAAGGAGGACTGCATGGCTGGAGTACAAGGAAATGGGGGGAAAGTACAGAAGATGGGAGTTGAGGCCGGCGGGCATGGTGGCTCACACTTGTAATCTCAGCACTTTGGGAGGCTGACATGGGCAGATCACTTGAGGTCAGGAGTTCGAGACCAGCCTGGGCAACATAGTGAGATCCTGCCTCTATCAAAAATACAACAAATTAGCCGAGTGTGGTGGTGCACCCCTGTGGTCCCAGCTACTCGGGAGGCTGAGGCAGAAGAACTGCTTGAACCTGGGAAGCAGAAGTTGCAGTGAGCCGAGATCATGCCACTACACTCCAGACTGGACCCCATCTCAAAATAAAAAAAAGAAGAAGAAGATGGGAGTTGTGGGTGACCAGAGGGCTGATCATGTAGGGCCTTGCCTCAGCCATTAAAGGACTTTGATTTTTACTCAAAATGTGATGGCAAGTCACTATAAGTTTGAGAACATAATGATCTTACACAAATACATACCTACAAACTGAAGGATTTATATAGAGGTGAGAACAGACTGTCAGTAGGGTGTGATCTAGTCTGGCAGTCAGATATTTGGTCAATGAGGAAAGTCTAAGGTCTGAAAGCTGAGAAGCTACAGAGCTACAGGAAAAGCATACACAAAAGCTATAATGCGAACATAAGAGGAAACATAATACAGTCACGCATTGCATAATATTGTTTTGATCAATGACAAACCACATCTACAACGGTGGTCCCATATGTTATAAAGGAGCTAAAAAATTCCTATCACCTAGCCATCTTAAATGTTGTAGTGTACCACATTACTCACATGTCTATGGTAATGCTGGTGTAAACAAACCGATTGTACTGCCAAAAATACAAAAGTATAGCACATACAATTATATACAGTTCATGATACTTGATAATGATAATAAACTATGTTACTGGTTTATGTATTTACTATACCATGCTTTTTATCATTATTTTAGAGTGCACTCCTACTTACCAAAAAAAAAAAAAAAAAATAGTTAACTGTGAAACAGCCTCAGGCAGGTCCTTCAGGAGGTATTCCAGAAGACACTGTTATCATTGATGACAGCCCCATGTATGTTACTGTCCCTGAAGACCTTCTTGTGGGACAAGATGTTGAGATGGAGAACAGTGACATTGATGATTCTGACCCTGTGCAGGCCTAGGCTAATGCATGTGTTTAGTTTCAACAAAAGAATTTAAAAAGTAAAAATGAAAATTTTTTACAATAGGAAAAAGCTTATGGAATAGGTATGTGAAGAAATAAAACATTTCTGTACAGTTGTACAATGTGTTTGTGTTTTAAGCTGTATTAAAACCAGAGTTGAAAAGATTCAAAAATTTTTAAATTTTACAAAATAAGTTACAGTAAGCTGAAGTTAATGATTGAAAAGTTTCTTTAAAATTTAATATAGCTTAAATGTACAGTATTTGTAAAGTCTACAATAGTGTACAGTAATGTTCTAGGCCTTCCCATTCACTCACTACTCATTTACTGACTCACCCAGGGCAACTTTCAGTACTGCAAGCTCCATTCACGGTAAGAGTCCTATAGAAGAGTACCATTTTTAATATTTTATATTGTATTTTTACTGTACTTTTCCTGTGCTTAGATACACAAATATCATTGTGTTACAACTGCCTACAGTATTCAGTACAGTAACATGCTGTACAGGTTTGGCTCTACCATATATCCTAGGCTATACCATCTGGTTTGTTTAAGTACGCTCTGTGATATTTGCACAACAACAAAACTGCCCAAGGGTGTATTTCTCAGAATGTATCCTCATCATTAAGTGATGCATGGCTGTATCTTAAAAGAACTAGGGAAAGTCAACGTGGCAAAAGCTTGGGTATGTCTAGTGGCCACAGTGTACAAGGTGAGTTTAGAGACATGAGCCAGACAGTCCAAATCAAGGAAATATTTGTAGGCAATGGTAAAAACTGGATTTCACCCTGAGTACAAAAGGATTGAGTTTCTTTCACACTGTCATGATAGCATTTCTTTCCTGAACACAATGGGACTCCATGAAAAGGAAAGACTTGCTTAGATTAGACAGCAAAACATTGACTACCTAGGAGACTAAGAAGCTATTGGGGTAGTCAACGAAAGATGATGGAGATTTGAGCTACATAACATAGAACAGACTGGTGAAAGACCGGATATGGGGGCAGAGAGAGGGAGGTGTTAAGGGTGTTTCCTAGGTCTGCAGGCCTCACAACCAGAAAGTAGGAGATGGGAACACCAGAAGAGATTCAGGTTTAGTGGGGAAGATTATGAGTTTGGTTTGGGGCATTTTGAGTTTGAACTGACTTTCCCATCTACCAAAACAAGCATGCATCTGCCCCTTTTCTCATCAACTACAGAATATTCTGTATGCACTATGACTAAAGTAACACTGGAGTCTATTCAAGATTTTACTGGTCTCTGATTGTCATGCTATGTAAAGCAGATTATGAGGGTAAAGGCTGAGTCTCCCCTAGTCTTCAAAGTACTAAGTAGTTGGCACAAAGTATATATGCATAACATTGTTGACAGATTTCTCATTCATTTTCACAACAACTTAGGCAACAGTATTATTAACCTCATTTCACACATGAGGTGGCTCAGTGAGGTCCCTGTGATATTAAGGGTTTTTCTCAGTATCACTTAACTGATGAACAGGAACAGCAAGACAGGAACCCAGGTCTGCCTGGCTCTAATATCACAGATTCTCACCATTTAGACACACTGCTTCTTTAGTTACATTCTTGTTAATCATTAACTGTAAGAATCCTGCATTCCTCATGTACATATGTATGTACATGAAAAAAATTTCTAGGTCATTATATTTGAGAAGAAATGAGAGGATACACAGAAACAGCTCCTTATAAAAGGAAATAACGTAAAACTAGTTATAATGAAGTCTACTCTCTGACTTCAAAAAAAATCTAAAAATTTTAAACTCTCTTAGGCAGAGGTCACAAAATAAATATCAAATTCCAGGGAATGTAAAGCATCTCCTTAGGTAAATATTAGGTAGATGCTGTTCACTTCATAGTCAGAGTGCTATAAGAAGCAGCAAACTGGACTAAGAACTCGATCTGTGTCCTACTACTGGCTGTGTAACTAGGTGTGACAGCAGACAGGTTACCAAACCTCTCAGATCTTCTGGTTTCCTCAATTATAAAATTAGGGAGATGAACTTATTCCAACCAGCTAAATACTATATCTGGATTTCCTAAGATTGGTGCGGTGAATGAATTTTTATAGATAAGTCATTTATAAATGTTCCAATGGGAAACTCATCTTTATAAAAATTATATAGGGAATTACTTGACAATCACCTAAGGCTACATATTTTATAACTCTGGGTGATTGTACATTTGCTTGACCTATGGAGGGGCACTCCCTTCTTTATTATTCTTTGAAGGTTGGAAAATCTTCACACTTCAAAACATGACAAAAATTTAACTACCCTCACTACCACCATGACCCTCTAGCCCAACAAGTGCTACAGCTGGGACTGCTCCCTTCATGCTCTTCCAGTTGGCTGACGCTTGACCCATCTATTTAAAAAAGTCCATTAATCTGATTAGGGTTTGAACACCTGGTTGAAGCTGCTTTTTTTTTTTTTGAGATCCTTAATAAAAATACTACATGGGTTGAAAAGTCTTAAGAATATGTTTTTGTCAGCCAGGAGAGTTAGAGTTTCCCCAAAGCTGAAACTTAATAAGGAAACAGGAAGTCAGAAATGATAATCAAATGTGGAAATATGGGCAGAATACTAAGTCAAAGGAAATGTGACCTAAAGAAATATGACTTCAGATCTAAATGCCAAAATCAGAATTTTTAACTAAAAAGCTAGATCTTGCTCTTACCCTTCCTGAGGAACATGGGGATGGAGCCAAGGTAGAGAAGAATTAAAAATCCCAGGACATCGACTGAAAAAGTTATCAGCCTATAAAAAATGCCATTAACTATATTCACCATTAGTATTACTAGATAAAAATTTAGCTTAGTGAGAAGCTTTGGACTGTATAATTTGAGAAGAAGTTGGACATATTTCTCATCGTAAGCATTTTTGTTACTGCAGTTGGATTTCAACTTATAATTGGTATTCCACATTGAAACAGCAATGAAAGTTTGGAAAATTAAATGCTTACCTTCCCCATCAAATGTTCCTTGTCCTTTCAGCATTTTTTTCTAAGAGACAAAAAAAAGTAAAAAAAAAAAAAAAAAAGGAAAAGCAAACTATGTATGAATGAGCCAAATAGAAAATACAGCTATTTTAAGTAAAAATACTTTTTTTTAGTCATTACATTAATTAGATTTCCAAGAGCGCACAGAAGCTGAGCCCTGGAGGAGTTCACTCATTTGATCACTACAATTCACTGAAACAATGAAATAAAATGTACAAGATCCCCCACACCCTGTCAAAACAGATTGAGAATCCTCAAATAACTAGCAGGTCAGCTCATTTTACAACTCGTGATTCACCATCACTGTTAAATTGAACTTTGCTATACTTGCAGAGTTGGAAAAAACACATAAAATGTTATGTAATTTATTTTCTTTAAGACCACGGGCTCTAAAATAAAACAGGCTTGCTTGTGTTTTGCATATGTGCCATTTATATAGACTGGTTCCAGTGCTCTGATTAACCAAGAAAAAATGTGGCTGCCAAAAAGAATCTGCCTTATTGCTGAAACCTGTGTTGTTTCTGTGGAAGGAAGCACACACTCCAAAATACCCCTCTTCAGTTTTCCCTGTTTCTTTATGTCATATTTGACAATATTTTAATAAGTGCAGCTAATGGGACAATATAGGGGAGCAATACCACACAGTGTCCACCCTAACCTTAAGTTTTCAGCTGCCAATCTGTTACATGCACTCAAGGATGAATGGGCATACAACGGGAATAAAACACAACCAAAGGCCACGGTGACAAAAACAAGCAACAAAAAAGATGACAAAATATTTATGTCTTTTGTGATCCTGGCAACTGATTTTCAAATTCACATTCTACCTGAATGACATCAAGTGCGTAGTAACCACTCAAAATTCAGTAAGTAAAAGCAAAAAATAATCAACAGGCTCAAACAGGAATCAGTATTTTTCTGAATCAGCTGTGATAACAGCTATCATTGACTGAAACCTCTAAGCAAACTCCAGACAACTTGACTGCAGAGTGCGGTTCTGAACATGCTCCTCCCCCTTTCAGCTATCTCTTTTAAAAGTGGTAAAGACTCACTCAGCCAATAATCTGCCATATTTCACTCTTGTCCCCCCCAATTCTGCCTGAGCTTAGAAATTTAAAAGTGATGAATTTCACTTCTTCCCACAAAGTTGCACTAAACTCGGCTGTGCCTGCCAGCATCAAAGTGGCCAAGAGCTGGATGTACACTAGCAATCAAGAGCAAAACACAGAATTAAAACGGAATGACTTCTTCGGGTTTCCTCTACGCTCCTCCTCCCCACTCCCAACACATTTACTTTCCGCTTAGTGAATGGCGTGCCACACTCCTGCCCACTTTTACCTTTATCCTTCCCAGACTGGAAAACTTCTCCTTGTCTTCCATCACCACTTTCAGAACAGGCTGGGACATTCTGTTCTTCTTCTTCGAGCTGGTAGGACTGTCAAAATCAAAGCCACTGACCACTGCCCTGCGATAAGACGTGGACCGCAAGCCTCTCCGCAGAGACCCTGGGCTATCCACGTCGTTATCGACCTCACTCTCCTCCCCTGCGTGACCCAGGGGTCCTCCTAGGCCCTCCACCATGCTGCGCACCTTGAGGAGTCTCTTGTGGGGCTCCACATTTTGATTGTTGGATTTACTTATTTTAATTTCCGAGGCCAGACTCTTCGGAATGATCTGCTGCTTCCCCACTTTGAGGGCGGCGGGGCTGTTTGTACTCAAAACCACGGAAGGATTCTCGAGGAGCTCGTTCTCCTGGGAGGGCAGCCTTTGGAGGGGGAGTTTTTGTTCCGAAGAACTTTTCTGGGGCCCAGGAAAGAGCCCCCGTTCGGGGTCCTTTGCCTTCCGGCCGGACTGCGAACCTGACCCAGGAGAGTCGTTATTAGCGGCAAGGCCATTTGCAGTGGGCGAAGGCACCGGGCTGGCAGTCAACCCAGTAAGGTCCTCCTCGGGGGTGCAGGGGGCGGGCGCGTTAGGAGTCCGCGGGGGGCGCAGAACCGGCGGCGGCGGCGGCGCAGGCAAGGTCACCGCGCCATTTGCTGGGGATTTCGGGGAGCCGCCAGGCACCGCTTTGGGGAGCTTGGGTGACTTGGGCCGTCGAAGTCGAGGAGAGGCAGCCCTGTACTCCGGGGATGCCGTCCCACCATTGGCCACCGCTCTCCGCTGGGCGCCCAGAAGCAGGGGGCTCCTATGTACCGTCCTGCTGTCCGAGGCGGTGGGCACCTGGGCGGGAATCTGCGCTGCGAGGAGCGTCCCTCCGTCCTCCACCGGGAAATCCGTAATTAGTAACCCGTTGGGGCTCTGGTAGGACTGGGGCCTCGGCTTGCTCCGGCCCAGAACCTGGTGGGGCTGAGGAATCGACCGCCTCCGCCACAAAGGGGTTATGCTGTTGCTAGAAAAATCCACCTCGCTCTCGCCGTCCATAGCCGGGCCTCGAAGTCAGCGCCGGGAGGAGCAACACCGAGTTAGTCTTGCCTAAAGAGGAAAGAAGTTAGGAAACTGTGCCTCTGGACAACCGGGGACGCCTGGCCGACTCGCGTGCTCCCAGACCGGCGGTCCCCCTGCTGCTGCGCAGGACACGACTGCACCGCACTTACCCGCCCTTTCTCGGGCAAAAACTGCACCACTGCGGTGCGCGGTTCCCGGCAGAAATCTGGGCTGCCGCCCAGGCGGATTAATCCAATCACCTCCGCGTCCCTCCCGCGCCAAAAGACCACCCGCAGCAAATGAGCCCGCCACCCATTCACTGAGTGCAAGCCGAGGCACAAGAAACTTGGGACGAGTTCAGCTTTCTTGGGAAACTCGCCGCGGGACGCTCCCTTCTGTCGCCATCCAGCCTCCCGCCCTCATCATGGGTACCCTCGCGCTCCAGGTGCGCGGCTCCCACGCAAATTTACCTTCTGGGGCTTGCAATGTCCGGGGCCGAGGAGCACCCACTACCCCGTGGGTGGCCCGGGTCCGGGACCGAAGCGCAGCCGCGAGAGCTTAGGAGAGCGCTGCCGCCGACCGCGGCGCCGGCGCCGGCCCGCCCCCACGCCTGACTACGCCCCCACACTTGGCCCCGCCCCCGTTTCGGCCCCGCCCAGATCCGCCTCCATCGCAGCCAGAAGCAAGAAGCTGTCTTCCCGCCCCCGCGTGCCTACAATCAGCCCCAGTCTCCCTGGGAAACCGACGAGCGCACCTGAGCTGGGTTCTGAGCTCCAGCGTTTTGGGGCTAGAAGTTGCGGACTAGTAGCTGAGGCGGCACGGGAGTGTAGGCGCGCGGGGTCGTTGCCGGGGGCACAGAGTGAGAACAAGCAAGGGAGCCCTGCTGAATTGCAGCTTAGGAAGCCCTGAATCCTGGAGGTGCGTTGAAACCGAGAACGCGCGGCGTAGTAGACTTTGTGAGATGCGTGGGCAGTAGCGCAGAGTTCTAACGCAGAGTCATGCCCTCTCAGCATTCAGGTGGTCTTAAATCAGATGGGCTCGTCCCAGTGCTGAAAATGCATTATAATATAAACAGATAGATGGGCTTGTTTGTGCCTAGAGTCTTTCCGTAGGAAAGACTGGCAGCTCTGAAGAGGGAAACTGGGTGGCTAGGAAACCGGAGGGAGGGAGAGTTTTCATATAATTATTTTTGGTCCTTGTATGCTTTGCATCTTGAAACCTATCTGTGAAAAATAAGCTCAATTTACACTACAAAAAAAGTATTGGTTTCCAACAGTACATAGAATAAAACTCAAAATCCTTAGCATGGCTTACAAGACACTTCACTACTGCCCTACTTCTTCAGCCTAGTCTTTCCTCCATCACTTTCTTCATTATTTTTTTGGCCACACTCAAAGTTTGACAGCCTCATAACCTTCCCTTTCGTTCCTTCTTGACCCGACTTGTCACTGCGTCAGAAAGGCCTTCCCTGTCCCCTCCTTAATTATACCATTGCCCCGTTTATTTTCCCAGCCACTTGTTCTCTTCTATTTTTGCACTTATAAAATTTTGTATATATATATATTTATGTGTTTATGTTTATTGTCTTTTGTCTTTACACAGTAATTTGCATGAGGGCAGGGGTCATGTTTTTTTTTCTTCTCCGTATTTCCGGCACATGGTGGGCACTTAATATTTATTTAATGAGTGAGAGAATGAATGACAGGAATGAAGTGAAAACAGTGACCATTCCTTCCAAAGTGCTTGGTTGTCAAATAGTAGAAAGATGGCTGTGTCTTGGCCAGGCTCCTGCTGTGTGACAATAATGAGGCAAACTTGAGAAGACAAATAATTTTAGACCATAAGAGCTGTATAATTGATTCTATTAGCAAGACAAATGGGCCCTTCTCCAAGTTCTCTTTCTGCATTCATGCATTCAGCAGGGATGCAGTGAGCATCCACTGTGTGCAAGTTATGCTGCCTGTTTTTGCCCTAGATTGAATGCAATGGCCAAAAATATTAAGATGTGATCTCTGGGTGGTGAGATGAAGGATAGTATGTTTCATGCTGCTTTATATTTTTCTATACTTAACGAAATATCCTGGACAATGAAGATATATTACTTTGATCTGAGACATTTTCATAAACAAAGAAAAAAAGAAACGGCATCGAAAAATGTATAAGAAACTTTTTTTTTTTTAGACGGAGTTTTGCTCTTGTTGCCCAGGCTGGAGTCCAATGATGCGATCTCGGCTCACCGCAACCTCCGCCTTCAGGGTTCAAGCAATTCTCCTGCCTCAGCCTCCCGAGTAGCTGGGATTACAGGCATGTACCACCACGCGCGGCTAATTTTGTATTTTTAGTAGAGACAGGGTTTCTCCATGTTGGTCAGGGTGGTCTCGAACTCCCAATTTCAGGTGATCCACCCACCTTGGCCTCCCAAAGTGCTGGGAATTGCAGGTGTGAGCCACCGCTCCTGGCCTAAGAAAATTTTTAAGAAAGAAATTTTCCACATTGGGTGGAAGACATGGCTGATTACATACTCACATGTAGGTACATAGACTTTTTTTTTAATATAAGGTGTTTTCTATACCAACATGTATTGCTGTTATATTGGGGAAATATAATAAATTAATTTCAGAAGTGGTTACCGACTGACAAATGGAGTATTCACCTAATTCAAAATGCAACCTGTGACCTATGTTAAGAAGCTGTAAAAGGTGATGTGAGAAGGTGGCTTTTCTTGAAATTATGTTGCTTCTACAAACAAGTATAACCAATATTTGTGACGACTTCATAGGATCTTCTTACCTCATTTCCAACAGACAACAAAATACCTACCAAAACAACAACAAAACACCAAGCTCTGGTCCTTCACTGAGGGAAGTTTACAAACTCACAGACCTAGTGCCTATTCAATTTATTGTTATCTATTCAAATCTAACCTATCTTCAATTATATGTTCCACTCAAAAGAAAGGAAAAGAGCTGCTAATAAAACTATGACAATATGTTATGTCATATCGAATTTTTACTTTATACTTAGTGCTTTTAGACACTTATACATAGATTTGCTTAGTACTGTGTGTATGTAGGAAAGGAAAATATAAGCAAAATGAATTTACCAAAGTCCCGAACATTGAGCCTGATTCTTCTGAATACCTTTTCATGAAAAGCATTCATGTGTGTTTTTCCACACAATATTGTTGATAGTGCACCATTTCTTAAAAGGATGTTCCAATCTTGTTTCTGGGATTTGCCTCCTAGACAATGACACTCATTCTGCAGTTGTGATGCTGGCACTATCCCATTTGACTAAACACATAGTTTTCTTGTTCAACTGAATTGTATGTCACTACAAGCTATGCAGCTTCTCTATTAATGGCCAGGAGAAAGTTTCTCACAAATGGTAGTTTCATGCCTTAACCATAGTCCTGCATGATACATGAATTGGTTATATCAACCTCTCTTTGCTTTAGAATTTCTTTCACCTAATCTGTCATATCTGGTAATTTCTCCTGCCTTCAACTATGTTTCTTGGCATATGGCTTTGACACAACAGGACTAAATTTCATAGAATTTAGTAGAAATGATAACAATTCATTTATGCCCATGTTCAAAAATAGGCAATGCCAACTATATCATCACTATCACCTGGCCACTGGATGTTTATTTGATAGTAAGACACATCCCAGTTTCAAAGAAATTAAAATGTGGTACCAAATTATTCTTAAAATTGAAGAAATACAGTATGTCAAACTATTTGTAATGATATTTTCCGCTGGTATATTCCAATGGTATATTGAACTATTAGAATATTCAATGGTACAACGCAAGATATATATGGCTACATTTACTAAACAAATTCACATTGGTCACAAATTTTGTGTCCCAAGCACAATAATTTGGCTAATTTTTAAATGCAAATTGTTAGCTAGTCTTATTACAATATATGTCCAATTTTCCAGTATTTCCCATCCCGTGTACCTTTTGTTTATTTATACATTCAACAACTATTTATTGGGTGCATTCAAGTGCCAAGCATTAAGACAAACATTCCTGAACCTTACAGTTTGGCTCATGAAACATGACTGAAACATTAAAATAAAAGACACCCAAACTGTGTAAGATGCATAGTAAGCTCTCTGTTCTATGGAAACCTTTGTGAAGGAGTCTGGATAAAACTGGCCCAGAAGGGTAGATAAAGTATTGCAAGGTGGAGAAGCGGACAATGATGTCACAGAAAGATTTCCCAGGATAAGCAAAAACATGGAGGGATGGCTGGAGAACTGATATTCATTAAGTGCCAACTGTATTTTAAGCTTTGTTGTTTGTTACACATAACTTAATCTCACATTAGTTCTGAGCCCACTTAAATATGAAGCTGAAGCCCAAAAAGCTCTTCTCATACTGTTGATAATTGGTTGAGTCAGAATCCTAAACTTTTTCTTTACAATACTCCAGAGCCCATGCATCAAAACATACAAGAAACTAAGCTCACCAAAACACAGTTTGCTTTTAGAAGTTGTGGGATGTTAATTTGGCTGAATATGGTGAGAATAGAATGTGGTATGCAACAGAGACTGAGGGATTGAGATTTTACCTGAATGACAACTAACTACTCTGATATGATTTGGCAGTTTGGCTCTGTGTCCCCATCCAAATCTCATCTCAAATTGTAATCCCCATGTGTTCATGGAGGGAGGTGATTGGGTCATGGGGGCAGTTTCCTCCATGCTGTTCTCATGATAGTGAGTGAGTTCTCATGAGATCTGATGGTTTTATAAGCGTCTAGCATTTCCCCTGCTTGCACTTCTCTCTCTTGCCACCATGTGAAGAAGGTTCTTGCCTCCTCTTCACTTTCTGCCATGAGCGTAAGTTTCCCGATGCTTCCCCAGCCATATGGAACTGTGAGTCAATTGAGCCTCTTTCCTTTACAAATTACCTAGTCTCAGGTAGTATCTTTATAGCAGTGTGAAAATGGACTAATACATACTCCTTGAAGAGATTTAAACTTTGCCATCTTCTAAAAAATGAATATGATGACACCAGTGTCAGAAATAAAAAACAAAACATTGACAGATTTGACAATTTAAACATTTTAACCTTTGTGCATTAAGAAAAGCCACATAAACCCATACATTTTGAGGGAAATCTTCTCTTAGAAGGAAATTAGAGAAAAATATTTAAATATATATAAAATATAAATATAAATAGGTTTGTGTATGATATAGCCATTTAACACTTTGTCATATATATTTAAATATTTATATGTTGTATATTAAATATATATATTATATATTGAAATATATAAATATATATGACAAAGTGTTAAGTGGCTGTATCATACAATCAATAAGAATAAGATAACGAAAGTTGTAAAATGAACAGAGTAAGAATAAGCATTTTGGAGAAGACATGAATGTCCACTATACATCAAAATATACTCAATCTCAATAATAAAAACAAAATTTAAGAATTAGTGAGATAGTTTTTCATTTATTAGATAAGCAAAGATTGTCTTTTTTTTTTTTTTTTTTAGATGGAGACTTACTCTGTTCCCCAGGCTGGAGTGCAGTGGCGTGATCCTGGCTCACTGCAACCTCCACCTCCTGGGTACAAGCAATTCTCTGCCTCAGCCTCCCAAGTAGCTGGGATTACAGGCGCCCACCACCATACTCGGCTAATTTTTATATTTTTAGTAGAGACGGGGTTTCACCATCTTGGCCAGGCTGGTCTTGAACTCCTGACCTCATGATCCACCCGCCTCAGCCTCCCGAAGTGCTGGGATTACAGGCATGAGCCAGGGTGCCCAGCCAAGATTGTCTTTTAAAAAGGCAATACCCACTGTTGGTAAAAGCACAGGCAAAAGAGAATTCTGAATCATTCATGGTAAGAATGTAAATTGGTACCTCTTTCTGGAGAGCAATTAGATGATTCTTAACCAAACCTTTTGTTATGGTGGCCAAAAGTTAGCAACAGGCTAAGTGTCAGCAAGGGACTGGCTAACAAACCATGATGTGCAATGCAACCACCAAAAATAATTATGCAAAATTATAATTATACAAAAATTCAAAATATGTAATTAAAGTTTTTTTAGAAAACTGTTTTAATACACACTATGCAAAATATCCTACTTTGAGTTTTACAAACTGCAAATAGCTATATGTAAAACTGTTTGTAAATATATAAAACGTATTTGTGTATATATGTAATGCCTAGATTTTGAGTATTCACCAAAATGTTGTCATGTCTACTCTGCACAGCTGGATTAATGGTGATATTTAGGTATGTTTTGCTGTGAAACAAACCACCCCAACACTTAGTGACGTAAAATAGCAACTTCTATTATTTGTTATTTTTTCACCATTTTGTGGGCTGGCCTGGCAGTTCTTCAGTAGGTCTCACCTAGGTTTTCTAGTGTGGCAGCAGGCAGCCAGCTGTGGGGTTGTCTGGGTCGGGAGGACAAAGCCCCCTCACATGCCTCACAGCTGGTTGATGCTGGCTGTTATTTGAGGCTCCTATTCTCCCTTTCTCAAATCTTCAATGTTCTGAACAGGAATCCCCATGATTCCTGAGACAATGGAGTGGTAAGTCAAAATGACAAAGAAAATTCTGGAGAGGATACTTGAAAAGGAGGTTTTGAAAATTGACTAGATCTCTTTGGGAAAAGAGTTCTGAAAAGGAGACTTTCTACGACACTTATTAATGATTTATATATTATCTTACATGTTAACATTTTGTGAGCACTTACAGTATACAGACCCTCTTTGAAGTGCTTCAACTGTATTATATAATTTAATCCTCACAACAACCTTATGAGGTAGGAACTACTACTGTAATCCATTTATACACAAGAAAATTAAGTATAGCACAGAGAGGTTAAGAAGCCATGCATCCTGGCTCATAATTATTACACTATATTGTTACATGGTTTGTGATTCCATTATGCATTTATATTTTTCACAAATAATATATAAACACCCCAACGTCAGGCTGGTTCTTTATCTCCAGTATTGCTTCAGTAATGGACAGGTTGATCAATTGGTGAAAATGCCCAAAGTTATAAAGAAAAAGAGGTGGAGGAAGGGATGTCATGCAAGTGGGAAGAAAGCCACAAAAGCCTGAGAAAGGAAGTTTCCAAAAGGAAAGTCAGATCAGCAGCTCCTGGTTGGTACCTGGCCCTAGGCTACCAATAGGTACAGTGGTGAAGAAAATAGGCACATAATCCTTACCATGGTATATCGGGAAAGACTAACCTTAGATAGCATTGAATGCTAAAGATGCTGCTCACTTAGTGCCCTTGCAACTGGTACCTTCAGTCTTGGTGGGCACTGAACCCAACTGGCTGGGCTTATGGAGAAGGCAAGTAGAAAACAGTCTAGGAACTTAACTGCAACTGTGGGAATTGTGACAGTAAAACGAAGGAGAAAAATAGGGCAGTAGATGGAGGATAAGGGAGAAATAAACAGTTTTAGTTTCAAGACTGAGGACACTTGGCTAGACATTAGGAAGCTGGGTTTGAGTTTGTGTTTACCACTTTTGAACTGTGGGAATGAAGACAAGTCATTTAATCTCTAAGACCACAGTTTCTTCAGCTGCAACATGAAGTTGTTCCTCCTCGCTAGCACAGTTTGGGAAGCACTGGTATAGATTAGAATAATTTGGATGTGGCCGGTCTAATGGTTGGAGGAAAGTAGGACGTGGAAATGGAGATGGGGACAAAGAGTAGGGGAGACCTGGCCAGATAAGTGCACAAAAAACTGAATTCTAATTTATTTCCCCCCTCTTGAACAGCAAATAATTAGAATAAAATTTTGTTATTTTTAACTCCATGTTAAAGAATAAAGATCATAATGAGAAAAGGGTTAGGACTTGTTGAAAGTGACTCCGAGGACTCTGCATGGCCAGATGGAAGGGAAATGGCAAGAAGACTTCACCAAGTGGAGAAGGGCTTCTTTCTTGCTCCCAGCCCTTGCCTGCAGCATCCAATCTGTTCACCCACAACAGCAGTGAGAATGATTCAAACGTGATGCATTGAACCTCCAGTGACACCATGTTTTGAAGGGGAAGGTCCCCGTTTAACTAGAGTAATTAAGATCCCAGGTAAACCATGAGGTCAGAGTGAAGAGTGGCTCCCACAACTGGCAGCCACCAAGAGCTGTTAGCTTTTGTTCTTTGAATTGTAGGAATGAGATAAGCAATTGAGCAGCCACTTTGTTCAACGTGTTCTAGTATGAGCTCACTGTATGCCTTGTACGGACGCTTTACCTCTCTAAACAGTGATTTCCTTGTTGCTTTGTTTTTTGTTTTGTGTTTGCTGTAAAATATTTAATACATGCATGTAGTAAAAATTGGGACTGCACAAAAGTAAAAAAAATCTCTGTCACTCTTGTCTCTAGTTTCCAAGTTGGCCCGCTAGAGGCGTCCACTGTTAACAGTTTGTTGTATTTTATAAATTTTCAGATGTATGGTAGACATTAGTAAACATATATATCCCTACACATACTACACACTGGCACCCTATAACACTCCTCTGTTCCTTACAAATTACCTTAAATACAATTCATTTAATGCCGGTACTTATAGAACTACCATATATTTTTAATAGCTGTAGAGCATTAGGTAGATCAAATAAAATTGCCATTTTTATGAGTCAAAAGCAATCAAATATCAGGAATTTCATATGGTTTCACCTAATATTACATAATTCATTAGCAAGTTTCCTATTAACAGACATTTAAATTATTTATTCGCAAAATCTGAGCACCAATGGAAAAACTGTAAAATTCCTTCCAGCTCTTCATTTCTGTAATTCTTTGCTTTGTTCCCATCCCTGAATGCCTGGAAGATGTAAGATAGTAAAAGAGAATACTTTATTGAACAAAGATGCAGGTGTTATTTAATTTCGTTATGTTTAATTTAGAGTCTGCTCTTAATGCTGTCTTAATGGTGAAATCATCGTGCATCAACATGCTCTAAGCAGGGTTCTGGTACTTTCTGGGGAAATTGGGTTGAGGTGCTATTATCACTATTACTATTCTTTTGATGATTATTTCTCTCTTTTGTGTCCTTTCCGGGATCCTGCTCCTTCTGTGGATTAACAAGACAGCATGTAGAATCACAGCTCTTGTTTCATGAAGTTTGTTAAGTAATTTGAACAAAGGTGTGTTACACTATTCCTTTTGTACAACCAGTTTAATGTTTGCAAAAGAACTCAAGATTTAAAAAACAAATCTGTTGTGTCCACTCCAGTTTCCAGGTAAATTTATATCAGGAATCACATGAGGATACTTAAGACTGGCCGGTACTTTCAAGTTTTCTCCTGCCCAGATCTGTTTGGAAGAAATCTAGTCTTATCTACCTCAAAAGTCCAGCAGAGAATAATAGCTGAAATAAATGAAGCCTGTGATTACTTAGTTCTGTGTTTACCTAGACATTCTGGCATTTGGCTCAAAAGACAAAGCTTTTTAGATGTGCTATTTGAACCTGGTTTTGCTATAGATTTTAAATTGGAAGAAAAAATGGTAACAAAGTGAAGCTCTCTAAATCATACACATTTGGGCTGACTACCAAGCTCGTCTCACCCAGCAGTACTAATAGAATGTGAAAAATGCTTTCCAGAGATGAGGTCTGCCACCTAGCAACCGCTTTGAAATGCCTCCTGCACTGACCCAAGGCTACTCAAAATGCCCAGTTTTGAAATTGGTGGGACATTTTGCTGTGTATGGGCCACAGTCATTGAAAGGAGGATTAGAACTTTGTTTTTCAGGCCAAAGACATGCAGATTAGAAGGATTGTTTAATTTAACTGCTCAACTGGTTTGGAAATAGAACTGGCAGATTAAATATAGATGAAAGATGATTACATCGGATATACGCTAAAAAAAAATCACTCATTGTTTATCTGAAATTGAAATTGAACTAAGCATCCCGTATTTTTATTTGTTAAAACTGGCAATCAAATTTTGGAGAGACTTTTTTAGTACAGAGGTGAGGGATATTTGTAAAATATGCACTGTAAATATTAACTTGATCCCCCAAGGCTCATAACGTTGTAGACCTAGACACCTTTCTCAGAGCACTGGCTTGTGCCTGTGAAGAAGCCTGAAGCATAGGAGACCAAAGGTGTGGGTAGGGCAGAAACTAACTAACAGAAGACAAGAAATTGCTTCAAGTTTGCACTCAGGAAAGCTATGCTGAATGTAGGACAGGCAAACGAAGGGGTTGAGCACAGAAGGGCAGTGACATCCCCCAGGCAGAATGGTGGGTGGTGAGGAGAGGGAAGTGCCCAGAAATGAGAAGGAAGTGGACGTGGCACGACATCAGCAGTCATTTTATATTTGGGGGAGAAGGGGTGAAGTGAAGCCAGCTACATCAATGTTCACTGTGAAGCCTGGGCTGAGGTGGGAGGGGTGTAGCCTGGGATCCACTGGAGGGCATTGCCACCTTCATGCGGCATCCCAGCAATTCTCAGGCTGCTTGCACCAGCAAGGGAGCCAGCCTGGGAGTACAGAGGCTTTTTCAGGGACCCCCTTTCAGCTTCACCTGGCTCAGTTCTGAGCTTATCATTTTGTTATCAGAGCCTCCTATCCCCCAAATCTGTAGCCTCCACTCACAAAATTAACCTAGCAGTACAGAACAGTTAAAACATAGAACCACGTACATAATCCCTATGTGTTTGTGCATAATTCAATACCTTCTGAAGAACACACAAGAAGCTGCTAACTGTGGCTGCGGCAGTAGATGGCGAGTGGGTTGGAGGAGGTAGATCCTGGATGAAAGCAAGATATATTTATTCCATATATCGTACATGCTCATCTATTTATTTTTCCTTGTGTATGTATTACTGACTCAAAATGAAATTTAAATATAATTACTATAGACAAAGCCAGCCCAGAATCTGACTCACATTTAAACTACTTGCATCATTGATTTAAGGTGGCTCATTACACTAAGGTGTTTTAAAATAAATATTTTATATGGTTTTGTATTATTTATATGTTTGAGAGGCCTGGGGTCTGACATTTTAGTGTGCTTTCTGGAAAATTTGCTGCTGAAATAAGGGAAAAATCAATAGCAACCCTGGACAAAAAGCTTTTGCTTATCTTTTCAAGTATTTACTCTGAGTTCTGTGCCATGTTGGTTTTATATATAGATATTTAAAAGTGCAAAATGAAAGTTTGATAGAAACCAAAGTCTTTTATAGCATTTTTTCTAAATAAAAGCTATATGGAGTCCTCCTGTGTAAATTCCATTAGGCCAGGAGTCTCTGCCTCTTTTGTTCAGTAATGGATCTCTAGGACCTAAAGCCTTTCTTGGCATATATTAGGTGCTCAGTAAATATTTGTTGAATGAAGGAATACATAATCATTATAAAAATCCAAGCACTACAGAAAAATATGCCATGGAACATGTAATCTTTTCTAATGCCTTTCCTCCAAATAATCATTACCCTAGTCTCTTAAAATGAAAGAACAAATCATTTTCTGAGGTGTAAAATTTCATTATAAATATATTTTTTAAAAATAATTATCAGCAGTTCGAGACCAGCCAAGCCAATACAGTGAAACCTCATCTCTACTAAAAAATACAAAAATTAGCCGGACATGGTGGTGTGTGCCTGTAGTCCCAGCTACTCAGGAGGCTGAGGCAGGAAAATCGCTTGAACCTGGGAGGTGGAGGTTGCAGTGAGCCGAGGTCGCGCCACTGCATTCCAGCCTGGGCAACAGCATGACACTCCCGTCTCAAAAAATTATAATAATAATAATTAAATGGCACCATAAAGAATAAAAAGACAAGCAACAGAATGGGACAAAATGTTTGCGAAAGACTAGTATTTAAAATTACGTGAAGAACTCATTACAATCAATTAGAAAAACGGACAAAACACTTGAGTACACACTTCAGGTAAGAGTAAATCCTAATGGTCCAAAAACATATGAAAAGCGCTTCATCTCATTAGTCATGAGAGAAATGAAAAAAAAAAAAGAAAAAAACACAATCAGCGGGTTAACAAAAATGTAAAGTCTCTGGCCGGGTGCAGTGGCTCACGCCTGTATTCCCAGCACTTTGGGAGGCCGAGGCAGGCGGATCACGAGGCAAAGATCGAGACTATCTTCGCTAATATGGTGAAACCCCATCTCTACTAAAAATACCAAAAAAAAAAAAAAAAAAAAAATATATATATATATATACACACACACACATATATATATATATAAAGTCTCACAGTACTAATTGTTGGTGAGGACCCTGAGCAACAGGAACTCTTGTATACTGCCTGTAGGAGAGTAACTTGGTAATCTACTTTACATAACTCTTTGGCATTATCTTCTAAACCTGACTATACAACAATTTTATGTATATGAAATAAAAATTCATTAACATAAAAGCAATATTTATTACATGCCAAAATTGGCAACTACTCAATTATCTACCATCAGAAGAAGGGATTTAAAAGTATAGTATAGCTCCACTGTGGAATTCTACAAAGCAATTAAAATGAACAAATAGCATCTTCAGGCAAAAACATGGATAAACTGATTAACATATAGTTGTCATAAGGTTCTGTAATGGCTTCCCTAGGGGATCAGCAAGTTATTTCAGTGGACAGACTCTTTTAGCAATTCAGAAATATCCCAGTGCTGAGATAGTTTCTATCTGGAAAGCCAGCTCCATCTGGGGACAAGGTTTTATAGGGTTCTAAGGGAAGAGGTACATATAGAGGTCACTAAAGGGGTCTGTAGATGCAAGGTGGACTGTGGGGCCAGGGAAACATTCAGACACTGGCATACAGTCCCTGGCATAAGGAGCAAAGAGCAAGTCTATAGCTGGGGCTACCAGAATCTCTCCTGAGGTCTTTATGCTGGGATTCTTAGGCCTGGCTGTGGATCAAGAGTAAATTCTGCTGCAGTGGGGATTCTAAAGCATCTGGGAAGAAAGGGGCTGCAGAAACATGTGAGTCCTCCAACTACAGAATCCATGGAGGCAGAGACTCTGGGTGACGTGCTTGGCTTCTTGTCTCTGGCCTGGGGTCATTGTCACTGATGTTGGTCTTGCTGCTTCTCCTGCTGAGTGTCTTTGGCTCAGTTATTCTTGAACCACACCAGAACTTGCACTCAACTCAGGGTGAGTGTTTTAGCCCATGCCTCCATTTCTTTGTGGGTTGGCCATCTCATCTTCTCATAGTTTTTCTGTAACTCCTATCACTGTCCCCTATCATAGATATGTTCCTGACCCTTCCTTCTTGAAGGGACAGCTGTGTAACCATTCAACCATCTGGCCATCAGTTTCCACATCTGTGAAATCAACTTCTGCCTCATGGAGCCGTGAGTTCCCAAGGTACTTGTAATCCTTTACTACTGCTGTTTCTACCTGTTGTTGTCACTTTGTTCTGAAGAACCACTGTGAGTTGGTTCTGCAAATGTGAAGAAATGTGAGTTTTAGGGGGTTTGTATGAGCTCTACATATGGATAAAGACAGAACTTGTAGTTATGAAAATATAATGAAATCTGAGCTCTACCATTTTCTAGATGAATCTTTGAATAAGTCCCTAAATCTCTCTGACTGTAATTTCTTTATCTTGAAAGTGGAGGTAATACTCCTAGCCCAGACAACCACCCAGACTGGGTGTGGGCGTGAAATTTTAAAATGCTTATGAAAAACACCTTATAAAATCTATACAAAACAAAGGCAGACATTTATTATTTATTCACAGGGGCTGAATTCTCACAGTCAAATGAACATATGAATTGCCTGAGAAGCAATTTTTTTTTTTTTTTTTTTTTTGAGACAGAGTCTCGCTCCGTCGCCCAGGCTGGGGTGCAGTGGTGCCATCTCGGCTCACTGCAATCTCCACCTCCCGGGTTCACCCCATTCTCCCGCCTCAGCCTCCCGAGTAGCTGGGACTACAGGCGCCCGCCACCATGCCTGGCTAATTTTTTTGTATTTTTAGTAGAGACAGGGTTTCACTATGTTAGCCAGGATGGTCTCGATCTCCTGACCTCGTGATCCGCCCGCCTCGGCCTCCCAAAGTGCTGAGATTACAGGCGTGAGCCACCGCGCCCGGCCGAGAAGCATTTTCAAAGCACTCAAGGTCGACTCCTGCTTAGACCACACTGGTCTTGTGGTCTTGAGATGATTTTTATTCTGTGGGCTGCAGCAGAGCCCATGAATCTGCATTTTATAAAGCAGCCAGGTGATGTTGAAGTAGATGACTTTTAGATCTCACTTTTAGAAAATTTTGGTTTCACTTTGGGTAATATTAACTTTTTCACATGCAGATGTTATTTGTTTAAAGAAACCTTTAGTATTTCCCTATGAATAGAGGGGATATTAACATTGAGCATCAAATTAGGGATGCTAAAGGAGCTCTCTAGAACGCTTTCTTGAGGATATAAGTAGAATTCTGATAAGCAAAAGGAAATTTTCCAAGCCAAAACTTTGATGTGTGTATGTGTGTATATACTACTTACATATATTTTTTCATGCATCAATTGTTCATACCCCTTGTTCATACCCTTTGTGCATTTTTATGTTGGGCGGTTGATCCTTTCCTTATTCAATGTGAACACCTTGAGTATCTAGGAAAATAGGCTTTTGCTGGCTATATGTCTTGCAAATGTTTTTCTAGCTTGTTGTCTTTTGACTATGTTAATGCACTCATTGCTGTACAGATTTACAGCAAATATTTCAGTAAGTATTTTCTTGAACCACACCAGAAATAGTGCTTAACTCAGAGTGAGTGTTTTAGCCCGTCCCTCCCTTTCTTTGTGGATTGGCCATATCATCTTCTCATAGTTTTTCTTTAACTCTTATTACTGTCCCCTATTATAGATATTGTAGAGAGGCCTATTTCACGCTGTGATTATTTTTTAAAAAGTAACCAAACTAGGAGAATCACTTGAACCCAGGAGGCAGAGGTTGCAGTGAGCCAAGATCACACCACCGCACTCCGGCCTGGTGACAGAGCGAGGCTCCGTCTCAAAAAAAAAAAAAGCAACCAAACTTTCTTTGGGAGCACTTTTGCCCAGAGGGCATGTCTTACAGTAGATATTTTGGCACTAGTAATAGGCACCTCAACAATAGTGTTTCTTTCCCTCCTTTTCTCTTAGTGTATACATCACTGAACCAGTTGCTTTATTCATGTTTACTCTTAATCTTAGTGCCTCATCAGATATTACTGTCTGTACTTTACTATGAGACCTACAGAAGTGTTACAATGAGGATACTCTTTTCTTCATTCCCTACCCTCTGAAACAGTTTAAAGAGCCTAAGACTGACTCACTTGCTTTTTGAAAACTGGAAAACTTCACAGTGAAACTGCCTGAACCAGGCTTTTTTTTGTGGGATGGCTCTTTATTATTTCTCTCAGGGTTATTTCTGTATTCGGATTTTTTAGCTTTTCTTGAATCAGTTTTTGTTTTTATATTTTCTTAGATGTATTGAATTCTTCTCTTAACTGCCTTAATCACCTCTGTTTCTAAGATTTGTTTTATTTTCTGTCTTACTTTTAATATTCTGCATTTGTGCACTCTTATTACTATTATTATTATTATTATTATTTTGAGATGGAGTATCACTCTATCACCCAGGCTGGAGTGCAGTGGTGCAGTCTCGGCTCACTGCAACCTCTGCCTCCCGGGTTCAAGTGGTTCTCCTGCCTCGGCCACCTGAGTAGCTGGGATTACAGGCGTATTTTTAGTAGAGATGGAGTTTCGCCATGTTGACCAGGTTTGTCTTGAACACCTAACCTCAAGTGATCCAACCGCTTCAGCCTCCCAAAGTGCTGAGATTACAGGCCTGAGCCACCGCACCCGGCCACTTTTATTTATTTGATTAATATTGCCATACAAGCTTGCTTATTTAAATTTGGCAATTTTTTAAGGTTTCTTATATGTATTTATCAATTCTACTGACTCTTTTTTCTAAGTTTTTTTTATCACTAGTAATGTCCTCTGTTTTTCTTTCTTTTGTTTTATTCTTTTTCTAATTTCTTGAATTGAATAGTTTGTATCAGTCTGGATCCAATTAGAAGAGGGAGATAAGCCACATAATTTGAACAGGGAAGGTTTAGTATAAAGAATTATTAACCACATTAAGGCACTAAAGTAATTAGGGATTGGCTGGTAAGAAGTAAAGAGAACATTAAACACAGGAATAGCACATAGAAGGAACAGCCACTACTCTCGGGTTGAGATGGAGCACCCAAGAAAGAAGCTCCCACTCTCTGCCCCACCCCATCCCTGGGACTGGAATCTGACCTTGTTGGAGAGAATGCCCTCTTGGCTCACTGGATGGTAAAGAAGTCTCTGTGATGCTGCATCAGTGGAACTTGCTGGAAATCTGCTCTCTGAAACTTGCCAGAAATCTGCCCTTTAGTATGCTAGGAAAAATTGTTCACAGGAAGGTGTCTCACTCTGCTACAAAAGCACGCAAAGGGGATGTTGGGGGGTGGAGTGGGAGAATTTCTGGCCCCTGAGTGCTGCTGTCCACTGCAGTGTAAGAGCTTGGCTTTGGAGAAGCTGCAAGCACTGCAGCTGGCAGGCTGCTAACCACTAGGTTATGTGGCTGCCATGCACTGCAAAAGTTGAGCCCTCAAGAAGCTATGAGTGCTTCAGGAGCCTGGTGCTGGAAAAAGCCACCCACTCACACTCTTAGGAGCCTGCCTCATAAGCACACGAGAACCAGGAAGCAAGATCCTTTTTCTATTACAATGTCTCTCCAACACTCTTTACTGATAAAGCTTCAGTGCCAGCCAGCAAGCAAAAAACATTTCAAAGACCGACCAAGATTCATTTTACAGAGCAATCACGCAGGGTAAATTTGGAGCTGAGAGGCAATGAATAGATAATTTTTATTCTTTTTTTTTTTTTTTTTTTTTTTTTTTGAGACGGAGTTTCACTCTTGTTGCCTAGGTTGGAGTGCAATGGCACGATCTCAGCTCACTGCAACCTCTGCCTCCTGGGTTCAAGCAAATCTGATGCCCCAGCCTCCTGAGTAGCTGGGATTACAGGCATGCGCCACCACGCCTGGATAATTTTGTATTTTTAGTAGAGACAGGGTTTCTCCATGTTGGTCAGGCTGGTCTCGAACTGCCGACCTCAGGTGATCCGCCTGCCTTGGCCTCTCAAAGTGCTGGAATTACAGGTGTGAGCCACTGTGCCTGGCCTTATTTTTATTAATGCTTATTGAATAATAAAAGTATTTAAAAGTATGCATTTTATTTGGAGTAAGGTGTAAGTACTTCTCATAAATTTAAATGTTGTGTTGTCATACTTATAGGTCACTGGTGCTTTCTAATTAGTCTGCTATTGATGCTTTGAATTTCTGTGACTCAATAGTGTACATTTTATTTCTCGTTAATAAGTGGACTTTATTATTTGTGTTTTGTTGCCATACAAATATTTACTTTTATTATATTGTTGTCAAAGAACGTGCCTTTATTAGTTGTACTATTTGGAATATATTAAGAAACCCTTTTATAAAATGCATCATGAATTTTGAAAAGAATATGCATTGTCTATGTGTAAAAAGCTCAATATATATACATGCTAAGCTTTTAAATTATATAATGTATATTATATTTGTTAGCTTGTTCTGTAGAAGACTGAGAGACATAGATTAATGTCTGATTTTTTTCAATCTATTCACAGAATTTCTCACAAATTCGATTAGGTATATTTTAAAACTGTTATTTAACACATAAACACTCACTGATTTAGCTTGAAAAATTACATTAAATTCTTATCATTGTACGTTTGCCTAGATGTCTGGCATATAGTAGACATTTAACAAACAGAAATTTAATTATGACCTTAAATTTTTAAAAAATAATTTTGAATGCCACTTATTTATTAGCATCAATATCATATCACTTATATTGGTTGGAATATGCTTTAAAATATGTTAGCCAGAAAAAAGTGTATGGAAGAGATGACAGAAGATTGACCAAAAAAAAAAAAAGTTGATAATCACCAGTGTTGGATGGAGATACGTGAGGGTTAATAACAATATTCTCTTTTTTTGTTTATGCTTGAAATTTTTCACAATAAAAGATTAAAAATAATGTATATACCATCATTTATTAATTCTCCCCTTGTAGGATAAAAAAAGTTCATTCTTCTAATAGTTTCAGGTTATTATTATTTGTGATTATAATAAATTATTTTAATTTTACATCTCTTTAAAAAGCTACTTTCATAATTTTTACAATATTTGCAGATTATGTCAATAGCTAATTAGACATTAATTCTAAATAATGTTGTAGAGGATATCTAGAGTTCAGAACTGGCTGAGTTGGCAGCGCCGGAGGAGATGTGCAGTGTTCAGTGACTGCTGCAGTGGTTTCCACCCTATGAGTCATGTAGCAAAGGACTATGGGAGGCTACTACTGGTCAATGGCTCATGAGAAATTGAGGCCCGAGGTCCAGTGGCCCCCAGTGAACTGAATCCTGCCAGAAACCACCTGAAAGAGTTTGGAAATAGATTCATACCTAAAAGAACTTTAAGATGATTGCAGCCGCAGCTGACATCTTGATGGCAGCTGTACAGGAGATCCAAAGACAGAGGACCTGTCTTATATGGAGGCAGGCTGTGCCTCCATGTAAACTGTGAGACAATAAATGATGTTTTAAATCACCAGGAATTTGTTGTACAGCAATAGATAAATAATATAGTACCTAATATACTCCCAATAGATTATTTTTCTGTTCAAATTTACCTTAAGTTAAATTAACTTAATTTCTGCAAACTAGAACCTTGACTGATATAATCACTATAGTTTGCTTAGTAACATTTCAGTTCCATATTTTTTATATTACTGAGTCAACTGTAATATTCACTTGAGATTTTCTCAGAAATGGTATGTGCATGATAGATTCTATAGCTCTCTTTTTCTTGAGTATTTTCAAATGCAAACTACATTAAGAAATGCACCACCAAGTAATGAAATAAAATGCATTTCTTATTGTGGGGTGGGATTGGAATCAGTTCCATCCAAGCCACATGGTTATTACACATTAGAGGAGGGGTTAGTGAGGACACAATTACAATACCACACAGTGATTTTAGAAGGCATCTGTGTTTGTCCCAAAATACCCACTTTAATGGATGATGAAGTCATTGAGCATTTCATAAAATTAATCTAGCTCATGAATGACCTTGACTTACCACCATTCCTTCTGAATGTTTGACCCCTTCTAGAACAATTATTAGAGCAGAGGTCACAATCTGGTAGATCACAGATGGGTTTCGTTAGGACCACACATTGTTGGTCCACATAATACTTTTAAAACTTTGAATAAGTTGCCAATCTTTTAAAAATCAGGAGATTTTGCATTAAAAAATATAGATTTCTGGCTTCCCTTGAATCAGACACTCTCTGGCAGTGCTGAGCACACACTCCCTCATGGCAAGAATAAACTGGAGCTGAGTAGCAGCTGCCTACTTCAGACAAGGCATGCATTTTCCAGGTTTCTACAGACTTCTTTGGACCATTTTGCATGCATAGGTACCCTTTGGCCTCTGTAGACTTGTTAGTCTGCAATCATTGTCTAAGGCCCTGCTTATGAGCTTGCCCACCCGCTGTGCACATGCAACTCAATATGGTAACAATTGAGCTTACCCAGTACTGACCCTGGACTCCATATGGCAAAAATGTTGTAAATTGTGGCTAAGAAATAACTGCTTGGTCAAGAGCTACTTTTCAGAAATTCCTCTGCAGAGTCCATATGCACATAAAACTATAAAAAATGGAAAATTATTCTTTTGTCTTTATTAAGGACTAAAAGATTTAAAAAGATGATATTTTTAATTGGCAAATTTGAATCCTGGACTTGTTAAGTATGAGTAGAAAAAAATCAGTAGTAAAATAAAGCAAATGTAATATGCTTCATTACACCTCCACATGCAGTGTAATATCACCCTTGCTCACTTCAACAGACAGTAAACCAGGCCTAAGTCAATCAGAAAATAGCATTTCCTAGAAACACAGGTTACAGCACAATAACTTTATTGGGCTGTTAACTTAGATTTTAGAGGTATAAGAGATTCTAGAATTAAACTATTCAGTGTACTTATTTTTAGATGAGGAAATGAAGTCCTTAAGAGGTGATGTGAATTGGCCAAGGACCTGTAGCTGTCTAGAGGTAGATTGAGACCATAGCTGAGTCTCCACACTCTGTCTCTTTTATTTAAATTCATTATGTTGCCTTTAAAAATGAGTATCTTTCTTAGAGTTATTTTGCATTCATCATTCTCTTACAACTACTATTATTTATATTATTTTACAGCTCAACTCCATTCCTGCCCTATTTACCATATAATATTTCCATACTGTATGCCTCCCTACTCCGAACTCAAGATATATATTGTTAATTTTGCTCATTTTATAACTGTGTCAGTCAGGACTCTTCTAATCACTAGAAGCAGAAAACCAATCAAACTGTCCTTGGCCAACAACTTTTTGGTTTTTTTTGACTCAGAAGTCTGTTGGTGCTGACTTCAAGCACTGCTGAATGCAGGGCCAATGATGTCATCAGATTTATTGATCTGCTCATCTCTGTCCTCTGGGTGTATTGGACTACTTCTGGAGCAGACAACTTTCTCTAGACATCTGGGGAAGATAGGTCCAAGCAGTACCATACGTCATAATCATAATTTAGTAGCCAAATGGAGCGGAGTTTCTTCACTCAAAATTTGTATATTGAGCTCAGAGAGAGACTCTGATTGGCCCTTCCTGTGTACCATGTCTGTCCCTTATACGAATTTCTGTGTCCAGAAGAATATGCTGCTATTATAGGTTCAGATTGGATCTTGTTTTTACTCATTAGGGGAGGGGTTGAGTTACTACGATGAAGGGCACTCACTAGTATTACATGGAACTGGAGGGTGGGGGGTGTTCCTTAAAAGAAAGGACTGGCAAAGGACAGGGATGCTGCTAAAAGAAGAGGTATGGAAAAGAGTATTGGGTGTTTACAAATAATACCTATCAGAGTCTGCTGAAGCAATCAAGCAGTCAGTATCATTGCACTCAGTATGATTGTGTTTGGGAAATAGAATAAGATTCTGCTCAATTCCTATGCATTCAGGAGATAGACGTTGTCGGGTTCCAGAGAGTATATCCAATGGTGGCAGCAATAGTTATTTACGTGAGGAAACTAGGAGTGCTCTAAGAGAGACACAAAGCTGAGTGAGTCAAGCGTGGAGACGGGATGAGGTTGAGGGAGTTGAAGATCAGGCATGGGGATGGTTTAATGAGGTTTGCACAAAGCCAGCTTTGTTGTTTGTTGGTCTTACCATGACAGCAGTATCTTGCCCTACAAATGGATTCTTAAGTTCTTTCAAAACTCTTGACAGAGTTTTGAGACTTAGAGCAATAGAGCAATTGCTGGGGTAAAGCGCAAATTGGTTTAAACTTGAGTTTACAACATGTATGCCCTTGGACTTAGCTAGTCCCCTTCTCCGAATTTATCCTATGAAAATATTTATACAGAAGATGTTGCCATAAGCTGTTAGTTTTTTTTGTTGTTTTTTGTTTGTTTGTTTCTTTTTTTAGACGGAGTCTCGCTCTGTCACCCAGGCTGGAATGCAGTGGTGCGATCTCAGCTCACTGCAAGCTCTGCCTCCGTGGTTCACGCCATTCTCCTGCCTCAGCCTCCCGAGTAGCTGGGACTACAGGCACCCGCCACCACGCCTGGCTAAGTTTTTGTATTTTTAGTAAAGACGGGGTTTCACCATTTTAGCCAGGATAGTCTTGATCTCCTCACCTCATGATCCATCCGCCTTGGCCTCCCAAAGTGCTGGGATTACAGGCGTGAGCCACGGTGCCCAGCCACTGTTAGTTTTTATTGTAAGTAGTTAAAAGATGAAAAGAACCTAAGTGTCTCATAGTATAAGATCAGTCAAGCAAAGAAATAACTGCAAATACAAAGGAATACATTGCAGACATTTAAAATGCTGTTGTAAAAGACTATATAAAGAAATAGAAATTTGTTAATATATTGTTACATGAAAAAACTTCTGAAATGGTTTAATATTAACTTTCATTATGCTCAGTTATCTATCAGACAATTATATTATCTGATTTAATCCTTACAATTCTATATGGTAGGTATTATCACGTTCCCCATATGACTTGTTTTCTCCAAACTTAATTTCCTTATCCATAAGTGGCATATGGTTCCTATTATAAATCATCACATATATGCACACATAGACACACAATATAAATGAAGAGAAAAATTTGCAAACCAATACTTATTCTTGCCTTTTTTTTTTTTTTTTTTTTTTTGAGACAGAGTCGTGTGGCTCCGTTGCCCAGACTGGAGTGCAGTGGTATGATCTTGGCTTACTGCAACCTTGGCCTCCCGGGCTCAAGTCATTCTCCCACCTCAGCCTCCCGAATAGCTGGGACTAAAGACATGTGCCACCATGCCTGGGAAATTTTTGCATTTTTTGTAGAGACTGGGTTTTGTCATGTTGCCCAAGCTGGCCTAGAACTCCTGAGCTCAAGCAATCCACCTGCCTCAGCCTTCCAAAGTGCTGAGATTGCAGGCGTGAGCCACCATGCCTGGCCTATTGGATGCAATCTGATATTTTCTTTTCACTGCATTTCATTATAATTTACTTAATTCTATTCCATCCTACTCCATTTAAAAAAAAATAATAATTGCAGCCCACAAAACACAACCCACTAATGGTGTAATGCCTGTTACTCAGCAGATGTTGGATAAATTTCAGCTATTATTCTTACTGTTATTATTATTAGTGGTAGTAGCATTAAGATTGTATGAGGCGGTAGTTAAAGGCTGTGCCCTTCAAATATAGTAGGGAATTGATGGATTGAACTTATTTTGGTTTTACCATAAGCTTCAGAGTATAGAAGTAATCCGTAAGCACAGTGTAGATTGACATGATTAGTATAGATGTAACAGATCTGAGAAAGCAGGTGAGTTTGTTCTGTACTTTGTAATAAATTCAGTTGTCAGTGATGATGGCAGTAAAGCTGGAACTTTGGTTTAGAGAGGCAGAGGCAGCCAATATTAAATGAAGTAAGTTAGAAGACTGCATTGACCAACACGCTTCAGAGGTATTAGGACTCTTTCAGTTGCAGGTGATAGAAGCCCAAAACCAGGCTTAATGGAAAAATAATTATTGGCTTATATGCTGAAAAATCTAGGACATCTACTGGCTTCAGGTATTGGTGGATCCAGGCCCTTAAAAAAGTCCTCAGGAAGCTATTTTTAAATTACTGTCTTTTGGTTATACTTTACTCCACTGGCTTCACTCTCAGTCAGGTGCTTTCTTAATGGTGGCCTCTGGCAACTTCAGCTCCAAAACTAGAAGAAAGAGAAAGTGTGCCCTGCTAAGTTCCAATAAAAGTCTTGGGCCTGGTTCTCTTTGACTTGCATTGTACTCCATCCTGGACCCAATTTCTCTAGCCGGGAAGACACATTTTTATGATTGGCTGGAGTCCCAGAGCCACACAGACTGAATGAAAAATAGATGGGTTGCCGAAGGAAATGAGAGTGCTGCTACCAGTAGCAGGGAGAAGCAGGATTAGGGAGACATGGGAGTACAAAAACCAAGAAATGTTTACAATAGATAGTAATAGTTCAGAGCTAGACAGAAGATCAGAAGTCCATGTAGGTAAGCAGCAGGTTTCAGAAACCCATGTAAAGTGAATGGTTATGAGGGGCTGAAATCCAGGCATTAACCACAAACAACTTTGGAGCAGTGATAACGAAAGAATTTAGAACTCCAGTTACCCTTCTGTGCTTTGCCGGCCTGGTGTATACAGAGACATCTAGTTAGGAGCATCCTCCTTAGACAAGAAGGGGAAAAGAGACCTACAGCAAGAGAATTGCACTGAACTAATGAATATTATCTTAATTTTTTTTAAAAAAAGATCCTCAGGCAGCCCTGGGGTGGGTAGTAGTGTTTACACACACACACACACACACACACTGTCACACAGATAGAAAGTGTTAGAGTCAGTATTTAAGCACAGCTTTGTCTTACCCAAAGCCCATGCTTGTTACATCTGCTTGAAATTTTGTTCTTGTATTTTCCTGAATGATGAATCCTGAGCTACACTTTAGAGTGTCCAGATGTATCATGCATCTCTGGGCTCCCATAACACTTAATTGACACCATGACAGCAGAATCTTTTAACACAGTGCAATAACCAGTTGTTAATATACCTGTCAATGGTCTTAATTTGTTGCTCATGCACCCAGTGGTAAAAAACAAATCTGGGAATAGCCTCCTGGATATGTATTTTTATGTTTATATACATTTGTGACATATATATACTATTCCATATTTATAATACTAATGTTAGTATTAATATTAGATGGTAAGCTCATTGAAGGCAATGGCTGTGTGATTCATCTTTATCTAGAGTTTTGCATGGTACCTGAAATGTAGCCACAATAATACAATTTTCCAATAAAAGTTTTTGAACATATACTTTGACATATGACAATGATGTAGTTGTCCATTATCGCTAACTACTTGCTGTATGTTATCCTAGAAAATAAAATCTTCTTATTAACTCTAAGTGATAGGCACTACTTTTCCCATTTTACAGATGAGAAATCTGAATTTACGTAACAGTTGACAAAACTTGTATTCTAATCCAGTTATTCAGAGCCCCCAAAGATACTGAAGTTAAATACTATGCTAAATTTTTTTTTTAACACATGAAGTGACAGTGAGTCAGAATATTGATACTGTTCTGGAAATTTAGAATATAGACTGTTAAAACTTTTTTTAAAGACAGGGTTTCACTCTGTCTCCCAGGCTGTATTGCAGTGGCACTATCACGGCTCACAGCAGGCTCGTCCTCCCTGGCTCAATGAATCCGCTGGTCTCAGCCTTCCGGATAGCTGGGATCACGGGTTCACACCAGTACACCCGGCTAATTTTTGTATTTTTTTTTTGTAGAGATATGTTTTTGCCATGTGGCCCAGGCTGGTCTCCAACTCCTGGGTTTACCATTCTCCCACCTCGGCCTCCCAAAGTGCTGGGATTACAGGGATGAGCCACTGCATCCCCTAAACACATAATTTTAGTTGTTCATTAAACAGCCATGTGTTAGCAACATTTTTGTAGTTTTATGCTTTGCCTTTCTAACTAGATTATAAGGCTCTTATGTGTGCATAAATTTTTACCATTTTCTATTCCACCTTGCATTGCTCAGATGCTTAACCAGTGTTTTTGGGTGAGTTATTTTTGAGAAAGACCAGGGAAAGTTGTATGTGGGAGAGTAGGCAAGTGTGAGTAGAGAGGTGTCAGGTGGGTGGACATGGGGTATGTAGCATTGACAGCGGAACGGCTTTCAGCCCACTTTCCACACATCACATACCACAGGCTGCTAAATATCCTAGAAAAATCTTGTTCATCATTGCTTGATTGAAGAGGAGACCTAACTGAAAAGAAAAAATTCTACAGAATATTAGGCACTAAGATTTCACAACTTCACTATCCAACAGTAAGAGTGGCATAGAAGTGATCACTCTGAGTTACTGATGATGTTATTTAAAAGAAGAAAATTTCAAATTTAAGTCTCAGTAAAAAGCCAAAGGTTTAAATAAATGGAAAGCAGCCAGCAAGGGAATGGTGTCTGCAGTGCTGGCTAACATAATATACAATGCAAAAAGGCTTCTTCATAATGAAATTCAACTTAAACATGGGGAGACACATTGTCCTATTTTAAATGCTACAAAATGATAGATACGACCTGAGAACCAGAAAAAAATATAAATGACATTGCAATCCGGAGATGAGAGAATGTCTTAATTTTCTGACAGCGTTTTTTTCCCTGCCACTAAATCACCTGTATCAGGCAAGGCCTTGCACCCACCTTGTTGGAAATGAACTCACTTATCTACTGTATTTCAAAAGTGAAATGATGGTATAAATTCATTTAGATATAAAATTGAAGAAATTTCCTTATGTATACATGTCTCAGAGCAACACAGCTGTGCCCTCTAGTGATCATTTTCTTCTGTTGTTTTATGAGGAGTCTTGAAAAGCATTGTAACAAATTTACTCCAGGTTCCTCTTCTATTTTATAAATTAGTTTTTTGTGGGAGATGATTGCTACTTTGGAAAATAAATGCTACTTTGGCACTAGGTATAGTGAGTGTAAAACAAAGAGTTCTTTATTTTTGTTCTCTGGAGCTCCATTTTCTTCACTTATAAATTCACTTTGTTGGGCCATGCCTTCAGTTTCACCCTAGTCAGTTACCAGAGGATTGGATTGAAGTATAAAGAATACATATATTCAGTATTGCAAATCAGTTGGATCAAGTCAGGGCAATTTTTTTAAGGAATATTAACCTTCCTTAATACATGTTGTGAAATGTGGTATGGCAAGAACTCTGTTAAAATTTTTCAGTCAAATTTGATCCTTGGCTCAATTTGATTTACCAGGTATACAAGTGTTCATGTCTCAATCCTTTGCTCCGTTGTAAATGCCTTGTATATAGGTATTGTATCTTCTAGAGCCTGGCATTTTGCACTATACTGTGTTTTGAAGTGTTCCTCAAATGCAAAAAGTTTTTTAAAAAGTTAAAACAATCAACAGACTTTAAGTTGCAAGTGCAAAGAACTTTTTTTTCTGGACCATTTAAGAGAAAGTTACCAATATAATGCCCTGTGTTCCCTGGATATTTTAATATGTGTTTTCCAACATTAATATGTTACTCTCACCTACACCTCAGACTTTATTTCAGTTGTCCCAATAATGTTCTTTTTTACCAAAGGATCAATTTCAGGATCATGTGTTGCATTTAATTGTTACTTCTCTCAGGGTTCTTCCACTCTAGAAAAATTTTTCAGTTTTTTTCCCCAGTTTCATGACCTTGATACTTCCTAAGATACCAGCCAGTTATTTTGAAGAACAATCTTCAGTATGGATGTGTCTGAAGTTTTCTCATGATTATATTTAGGTGACACATCATTGGCAGGAATATCACAGAAGTGATGCTGTGTTCTCAATACATCCTGTCAGGTGCACATGATTTTAACTTCCCCCATTACTGATATTTTCACTTTTATTACTTGATCAAGGTGGTGTCTGCCAGGTTTCTTCACTGTAAAGTTACTCTTTTTCACTGTATAATTTTAGAAGTATTTTGTTGGGAGTTCTTTAAGACTATGTAAATATCTTGCTCTTCATTAAACTTTCAATTTATTCATTTACTTATATCTCTTAGGGTTCATATTTTCTATTTTATTCCATAAACTATAATTTCTTAATATCATTATTTATTTTAATGTTCAGAGTTCCTCCAGTTTGGCCAATGAGAACCCCTGCAAGTTGATGTCTGTGTGATTTTGACACGTTCTATTACTTTTTCAGCACAAAAATTGATCATTTTGTACTTTCCTTCCTCCAGCCCTGGAATCTGCCATTTTTTCCAGGAAGTTTCTGCTTCCTTTTAGTAGCGAATAATATTTAGAAACAAGATCTCGGCACTAGATACTCCTGCTGTCTCTCAGAAAACTAAGCTAAGGAATAGATGTATGCGTATGTACACACACACACCTATGTTTATTTCTATATCTATATTTATTGAAATGCATAAGTTTATTGTCAATATCTCCAGTTCCTGTTCATCACAGAATTAATTCTAGTTGTCTTTTTTCCTTTGTTTTAATTCCCCTTTCTGCGAGTGAGAAACTTGGCTCTTATAGTCCTTCATATATTCACTTAATCAACTTGTCTAAATGTTGCCAATGAACATTTTCCCTGCCAGGCATCGCACTCTGTGTCTGGTGGCTCGTATGCCTGTTCACTGTCTCGTTCCAGCTCTGAGAGCCTATGCAGGATTTCTCCTATGAGTGGATATTCTCTTTCTCTTTTTTGAGACAGAGTCTTGCTCTGTCGCCCAGTTTGGAGTGCAGTGGCATGATCTCGGCTCACTGCAACCTCCGCCTGCTAGGGTTAGAGTGATTCTCCTGCCTCAGCCTCCTGAGTAGCTGGGATTACAGGTGGGTGCTACCATGCCCAGCTGATTTTTGTATTTTTAATAGAGACAGGGTTTCGCCATGTTGGCCAGGCTGGTCTCGAACTCCTGACCTCAAGTGATCGGCCTGCCTTGACCTTTCAAAGTGCTAGGATAACAGGTGTGAGCCACCACGCCTGGGCCTTTCTCTTCTTATAAGAGTATGTCAGATTGGATTAAGGGCACACCCTACTTATTAACTAATCACATCTAATTAATTAACTGATGAACAAATGGCATTTAGAAACTAAGAACTGGATGCTAGGCTCTCCTGTGGCTTGGCCACTTTTAAGAAAAATTACCTTTTTCTGATTTGCAGATTCTCAAGGGCTCTGTCCTAAGCCCTTTTTTTCTCTTTATGTTAAACTCTCCTACCCATTCTTATGGTTTCATATAACATTTATGTAACAACTTCCAATGCTGTACCACTTCCAATCTAGACCTTGTTCCTAAGCTTAAGATTTTATATTGCATGCTGCCTAAATCACTCCACTTGGTTGTTTCTCATATTCAAAGCCAAATTCCCCCCTACTCACCTATCTGCACCAAAATTGTATCTTCTCCCACCTTTCCTGTCACAGGTAACACAAACCAGATACCTGTCAGTCATACTTGATACTTAATCCTCCTTCAAATATTTTTCCCAAACCATTGTCATGAATTCCCAGATCTTTTGCTCACTCTTTTGTCTTCTTTCCCTCTCAGCTGCCATCATCCTAGTCAAAACGACCATTACGTCTTGTGGGTTTACTAAAGTTGCCTCTGACTGGTATCCCCAATTCTTAGATTGTCCTTTCCAATCTTTTCTTCATAATATTACTAGAGTGATTTTTAAATTAACAAAACTTTTTGTTATAACAATTTTTAGCCATACCCAAAAGTAGAAAAAATAGTGTAATGACTCCCATTTAGCCATCAGCCAGATTCAACAGTTACCAGCGTCTCAACACACTTGCTTCTTGCTTGTTGTATCTGTCTTCTCCCTTTTTTCATTCTTTTTTCCTTTTTATTTTTGAGACAGAGTCTTGCTTTGACCTAGGCTGGAGTGCACTGGTGCCCTCATACCTCACTGCTGCCTGGAATTCCTGGGCTCAAGGGATTCTCCCACTTCAGCCTCCCAAGTAGCTGGGACTACAGGCATGCACCACCATTCTCAGCTAATTTTTAAGTTTTTATTTTTGTAGAGGCAGGGTTGCTCCATCCTGCCTAGGCTTGTCTCAAACTTTTGGGCTTACATGATCCTACCACCACAGCCTGCCAAAGTGCTGGGATTACAGGCATGAGCCGCTGCGCTTGGCCTCTGTTTTCTTTTTTCCCCTTTCTCTCTCCTGTTCTAATTTTTAGAAACATTTTTGCAGATATAGTTTATAGGAAATTCCTGATGTCAAGTAATTTCACCTAAAATACTTCAGGAAACATCTCCAAAGAATAAAGAAAAATGATTTTTAAAAATCTGTATTTAAAGGCATTATATAATCACAATACCATTATCACACCAAACCAAATTAAATCAAATTAAAAATAATTCCTCTATCATCTTATCCTTAGTTGACACTCAAATTCCTTTAATTATCTCAAATGTGTTCTTTTAAAATTAGTTTGTTACACTTAGTTAAAAATATGGATCATGTTCCAGCCAACATGGGGTAGCCCCATTCTTCCCAGGTTCTCCATCCTAGAACCGAAAAACCTTAGAGACAATACAACAAACAGGCATAGGAAGATTCAAAAATGTAGAAAGAATAAGGCAGATGGTCTAGGGACCTTGAAAATTGAAGGATGACATGATGGTGAGTTGCTTAGGTTTCTTGATTGCCTTTCACATCATCTTGAGAAGTTGTTGTCTGCAAACTGGAGCTGCCAGTAGGCCTAAGACAAAAAGCTCCAAGAAAGCCTATTCCCATTGCTGGAGGATTGGGAAAAGAATGACCTAACAGCAGAAAAGCCTTTTGGCAATACCTGCCCTACTCCAGCCAAACACCAGTGGAAAAACTGCCTCCCTTCCTGCAGTTTCAGTGGGACCAGACAGGAAGTAAATCTTCCATTCCTTCTTCCCCACCCCGCTCCCATGGAAGAAGCCGTTGCCTGTGCTGATTCTCGTGCATATGCCTTGTGCATTTTTCCTTAAGAGCATCAAGCTTATTTCAATTCAGTACCTTTTTGTAACCCTGAGCCATAAATTCCCTTTCTTTCTCATTTAAACACACTGAAGTACCATCTAAGTATGTGAGAACTGTGAAAGGAGCACCTGTCACAACACCTAAGTCCTTAATGCTTTGCTCATCCAAGTTGGAGTGCACTAATAATGTGATTTTTCACATAATAATGGCAAAAATAAGTAAAAAGTAGCTTAGGAGGTGCAGAGAGACTTATAAAAAGAAGTATAACCACCTATGGCACCAAATATCAAACAGATTACATAAAAACCATTTTTCTTATAATCCGTGTCTTTTTTTCTGGGTTTTTCTCTTGCTCTGGTTTGGTGGACTGACTTTAAGCTGACCTCCAGTCCTTATGCCCTCACGTAATTCCCTTGTGTTGAGTGTGGGCTGGTCTGGTTCTAACCAATAGAACATACCAAAGGTTATGGATTGTCATTTTCATGACTAGGTTGCAAGAGACAGTAACTTCTGGTTAGCTAGTAGACTCCCTTGCTGGCTTTTATGAAGGATACTGCTATGTTGTGAGTGATCCTATGGAGAAGTCCATGTGATAAGGGACTGAGGGTAGCTTATGGCTGGCAGCCAACAAGGAACTAAGATTCTCGGTTCAAAACATAGAAAAACCAAATCCTGCCAACACTTGTGTGACCTCACTTTCTGGCTGAGCCTTTGGATGATATGCACCTTGCCCATCGCCTTGATTATAGCCTGTGAGAAACCCTGAAGCAGAAACCCCAGCTAAGATACATCTGAACTCCTGACCAAAAGAAACTGTGAGATAATAAATACGTGTTGTTTTAAGATGTTAAATTTGTGGTAATTTGTCCTGCTGTAATAGAAATAATTTTAAAATTGTTTTAGGGAAGATCTGTGAGTGGCACACTGATCTTTTGTGAGGCTAAAAAGTATTTTTTTGGCCGGATGCAGTGGCTCATGCCTGTAATCCCAGCACTTTGGGAGGCCAAGACGGGCAGATCACTTGAAGTCAGGAGTTCGTGACCAGCCTGGCCAATATGGTGAAACCCCATCTCTACTAAAAATACAAAAATTAGCTGGGCATGGTGGTGCGTGCCTGTAGTCCCAGCTACTTAGGAGGCTGAGGCAGGAGAATCACTTGAAACTCCGAGGCGGAACTTGCAGTGAGGCGAGATCAAGCCACTGCACTCCAGCATGGGCAATGAGCGAGACTCCGTCTCAAAAAAAAAAAAAAAAAAAAGTATTTTCTTCTAGGCTTGGAAGAAATACTTCAGCTTTTGTCTAAAATTCAAGATTTTCCATAAACATTCGAAATATGACTGCATTGTTATTTAGCTTCTGTTGTGGGTAATGAGTCTAATTATCATTATTTTGCAGGTCATCTGTCTTTATGTGTTTTTCTTAAAGTTTTTCTCTTTATCTTTTATATACTTTAAGAAGAATGCATTGGCATGGAACACAACCAACGTATGTTTCTTTGTTCTTGTTTTATTATACGCTCCTATTGTTTTTATCTTACTTTAGGAAATGCTGAGTTAATGTGACCCAGCTTGTTCAAGGAGCAGCCAGGATACCAGCCAGCCGCAGAGGCCTGAGGAAAGCAAAAGGAAACCAACTTGAGGCCACATGACTGAATGACAGTCCAGGGTACTTGGCACTGATGCAGTAGTGATAAGGAATTCTTTAAGAATTTAGGGCAGGGGTGTGAGGGTTAATGTCAAGAAGGTTAGTCTGATCTTAGCAAACAAACCAAGGTGAATCGGATTGACAGAAATTCCAGTGAGAAGTTTATGATACAACTGCAACCCAGTGAGTGTGATGACCATGAGAATGGAGTGGAGAGTACAAAAATAACAGCATTTAGTTGCAGATTAGAAACAGATGTGAAGGGCGAAAAAGCACCATAGGGAAGGACATAAGAGGTCCCTGGAGTCAGACTTGGGAGATGTGAGTTTTATCAGTTTTGCCATTAGGTAGTTGTGTGCACCCTTGGGCATATAGCACTTTTTTGGTAATTCTATTTTCGCACTTTTCAAATGAGATGCAATTAGATTAGAGACTGTAAAGTAAAAGCTGCCATGCTTCATTTTTTTAAACCAATAAAGCATTTTATAGGAGTTTGAATTGACTGTCGACATTTATACACTGGAATAACATACAAATCTGGATTTCTAGCTTCTCTTGAAAAACTGGAAAATCTGGTAATACCAGGCTCCTGATCTCATATGACAGCAATGCGCTTCACCTTGAGTAGCAGCTAGAGTGCTGTCTAGCCAGGTGACCACAGTTCTCCCTACTGTCCTTCAACTTGCGAGTTTGTTTCAATCATATTATGTCCAGAATTGGTGGGTTCTTGGTCTCACTGACTTCAAGAATAAAGCCGCGGACCCTCGTGGTGAGTGTCACAGTTCTTAAAGGCAGCGTGTCCGGAGTTTGTTCCTTCTGATGTTCGGATGTGTTCGGAGTTTCTTCCTTCCGGTGGGTTCATGGTCTCGCAAGCCCAGGAGTGAAGCTGCAGACCTTCGTGGTGAGTGTTACAGCTCTTAAGGCGGCACGTCTGGAGTTGTTCGTTCCTCCCAATGGGTTCGTGGTCTCGCTGGCTTCAGGAATGAAGTTGCAGACCTTCGCGGTGAGTGTTACAGCTCATAAAGGCAGTATGGACCCAAAGAGTGAGCAGCAGCAAGATTTATTGCAAAGAGCGAAAGAACAAAGCTTCCACAGTGTGGAAGGGGACCCGAGCAGGTTGCCACTGCTGGCCGGGGCAGCCTCGTTTTATTCTCTTATCTGGCCCCACCCATATACTGCTAATTGGTCCATTTTACAGACAGCTGATTGGTCTGTTTTACAGAGAGCTGATTGGTCCATTTTGACAGGGTGCTGATTGGTGCGTTTACAATCCCTGAGCTAGACACAAAAGTTCTCCACGTCCCCACTAGATTAGCTAGATACAGAGTGTCGATTGGTGTATTTACAAACCTTGGGCTAGACACAGAGTGCTGATTGGTGCATTTACAAACCTTGAGCTAGATACAGAGTGCCAGTTGGTGTATTCACAATCCGTTAGCTAGACATAAAGATTCTCCAAGTCCCCACCAGATCATCTAGACACAGAGCGGTGATTGGTGCATTTACAAACCTTGAGCTAGATACAGAGTGCTGATTGGTGTATTCACAATCCCTTAGCTAGACATAAAGATTCTCCAAGTCCCCACCAGATTAGCTAGATACAGAGTGCTGATTGGTCCATCCGCAAACCCTGAGCTAGACACAGGGTGCTGATTGGTGTGTTTACAAACCTTGAGCTAGATACAGGGTGCTGATGGGTGTATTTACAAACCTTGAGCTAGACACAGAGTGCTGATTGGTGTATTTACAATCCCTTGGCTAGACATAAAGGTTCTCCAAGTCCCCACCAGACTCAGAAGCCCAGCTGGCTTCACCCAGTGGATCTCACACCGGGGCCGCAGATGGAGCTGCCTGCCAGTCCTGTGCTGTGTGCCCACACTCCTCAGCCCTTGTGCGGTCGATGGGACTGGGCACCGTGGAGCAGGGGGCGGCACTCGTCGGGGAGACTTGGGCTGCGCAGGAGCCCACGGCAGTGGGGGAGGAGGCTTAGGCATGGCGGGCTGCTGGTCCCACGCCCTGCCCTACAGGGAAGCAGCTAAGGCCTGGTGAGAAATCGAGCACAGCAGCTGCTGGCCCAGGTGCTAAGCCCCTCACTGCCTGGGGCCAGCGGGGCCCGCCGAGCCCACGCCCACCCAGAACTCGCGCTGGCCCACAAGCACCGCGCGCAGCCCTGGGTCCTGCCCACACCTCTCCCTCCACACCTCCCCGCAAGCTGAGGGAGCTGGCTCTAGCCTCGGCCAGCCCAGGAAGGGGCTCCCACAGTGCAGTGGCAGGCTGAAGGGCTCCTCAAGTGCCGCCAGAGTGGGCACTCAGGCAGAGGAGGTGCCGAGAGTGAGTGAGGGCTGTGAGGGCTGCCAGCACACTGTCACCTCTCAATATCAATCATATTGCCTGTCTTGGCCCTGTAGGCATTTGAGTATTTTTAACCCTGGACCAGTTGATTTTCAAGTTTCTTGCATTTGTGAATCTTGTGAATCTGTAACTCTCAATACATACCCTAAAAAATGCGAGGTGAAAAGGTAATGGTAACAGTCATAGCTTTATTAAGAACTTATTTTGTACACTATTGTCCAGGTGCTTTATATATATTGTCTCATTTAATCCTCATAACAACCTTTAACATCAATATTATTTTTTTATCATCATCTCCATGATACAAGTGAGGAACAAAGGCTTAGAAGGCTAATTTGTCCAAGGTCATACAGCAGGTAAGAGGTAGAGTTAGGATTTGAACCTGACAGTCTAACTCCAGACTTAATGCTTCTAACTCTTAAGCTTTGCAATCATAGAAAGGTTAGTGAATTTTGGAGAAAGCTAGTTTTTCTAGGTGTATGGAAGGATGATGGTCAGGGTATTACCGTGGCCACAAAGGGGATGAAGATCATCAAGATACTTGCTAACTTACTTAGGTAGAGGAGTGAGAATCCTCAACTGCTATGATTCTCTATGCCAACAGCTAGACCATGGGAAGAATATACCCAACCTAGACCTACAGAAATGAAGCATTAAGAGATGGGGAGAAAGGCCGGGCATGGTGGCTCACGCCTGTAACCCCAACACTTTGGGAGGCCAAGGCGAGTGGATCACGAGGTCAAGAGATCGAGACCATCTTGGCCAACATGGTGAAATCCCGTCTCTATTAAAAATAGAAAAATTAGCTGGGCATAATGGCGTGCACCTGTAATCCCAGATACTCAGGAGGCTGAGGCAGGAGAATCACTTGAACCCAGGAGGTAGAGGTTGCAGCGAGCCGAGATCATGCCACTGCACTCCAGCCTGGTGACTGCGTCTCAAGAAAAAAAAAAGAGAGAGAGAGAGAGATGGAGTAAAAAAGGCTTTGAAAAGGACTTAAGAATTAAGGGAGAAACAGAAGTCAGAGTGGCAGCCCAAAGTGGGGAGAGCATGTTGTAGTAAAGCCAGACATGTGTTAGCTTTTTTCTTCTGCCAGGAAGCTTTGAGTGCAAACTTGAAATCTGGACCCAAGGCCAGGCAGGTGCAATATTATCAGATCATGCTTACAAGCTATGGTGAACAAGCTGTTTTTACAAGATTATCCATAGTGTCTCTGGGCAATGGAGCTACAGAGAGGGCTTAATAACTATTTTAAGTTGCTGGTTTATTAACCATGGAAATCTAGCATATATTATTTGTTTTAATAAAATATGGAAAAATGTACATAAGTCTTCAGAAACGTCATGAAAAAGCTTAAATATGAAACTATAAGTGGCATATTTTTTCTAAAATGCATATGTAAGCATTTTCCTTCTTTGGTTATCATAATTTTCACTTCTTTTATTCTTTCATTTTTTATTCCTTTTTGTGTTAGTGAAAAATAATTGTGGGAAATTAAGAAAATTATATATTTAATAAAGGACAAAAAGAACATATATATATATAAATGAAAAGATAATGTTTTATAATAATTGGGCCAATTGAGACAATATGGATTAGAGAAATAGCTTGCCTGCTATGATATGTTTTTGGAAGAGTCGATAATAAACTAAGTTGAGAACTGTATTTTATTGTTCCATTTAGGAAACATTTATTAAGCACCTATTTTGTGCTTGGATCTCAATGAGAGGTGGAGGGAAAAAACAATACGAATGAGATTCAGCATGGGCTTCAAGAAATTTACAACTTCCTCCAGTTATCTGAGGCCTGGTGACAGTGACAGTGACTGACTGTTTGGCTATTTTGAGGTGGATGACTATCTATGCTAAAATGTGGATTGAGCCACTCCCCCAAAATCTCTTCTCCTACTACCTGACGCTATAAGCTGTATGTCAGGATGGAATCAGGCAGAATCTCGGACTGCTATCAGTCTGATACATTCAGCAGTGCTTTTCACACTCCCTCCTTCCAAAGTGTGCAAAACACGTGTATGTTTAATGTTAAATTCTATTTCACATCATTCTTAAAATGGAAAAAGGTTAAGCCAGCTCTGCATAAACTGGCTCTGTTTTCTACTTCTGCTAAAACTGCTTTTAGAAGTGTATAGAGTGTTTTTAGGGCAATACTCATGGTTTATGTTGATTGTTTTTTACTTCATGAAAAAATTAAGACAAATGTGACCAGGACTGGGAAGGCAGGAATTTGTAAAAAAGTGAAAAAAGATTTTGGATCAGCTCCTTAGACCAAATACTCTTTAGACCAAATACTATCCATTTTGAGAAGTAGCATAATCTGTTGATGTGTCAAGGGACAACTTGTCTTGATTTCTCTCATTGTCCCCAAAGCCACTCCAAGTAATTTCCTAGAAAATCTATGAAAAAGCAATGGGTTTGCTAGGCAAATGCAGCTTCACCAAAAGCCCCACAATACCCACTTCTAAACAGGATGAGTCAGCTGAGCTTTCTTACATAAAAATTCTGAAGCATCCACCAGCTGAAATTCATTTTACAGAAGTTTTAAAGCTGCCGCTAAGCCCCACTCCAATCCTGTCCTGGTGCTATCATTAATCATTTTTCAGGGCTAATAAAAATGCCTCTTTTAACAAGCAAACTATCCTACAAGGATTAAATCCATGATGTACAATGAAGGATGGATTGGTTTAACCAATTTGGCTGGGAAGACTAGGAAATACAGGTGTTCTGATGGTGGAAAAGAAAGAATATGAATCTTTGCACACTGTCTGGAAAAGCAGGTCTGCTTGGGTGTGAACCTCCATGAGAACACTTGCAGTGGGGTGGGACCAAGACCCCAAGATATGTTTTGACCAAGACCCCACTTGCACAGGTTATATACAAATACTACACCATTTTTATAAGGGATGTGAGCATCTGTGAACTTTGGCATTCAAGGAAGAGTCTTGGAACCAGTCCCTCAGGATACCAAGGGATGACTGTATAGCTAGCATTTAGAGGTCAGTAGGTCCTTCTCCTAAAACAGGCTATGTAATCATTCATGCAGACTCCTTTACCAACTTGTATGTTCACTTCAGCAAGTCAACCAAATTCAATTCAGTGTTCACTTTGATAGAGCTTTTTCTTCATCTGCAAAATGAAGGTCCAGTACTTCTTGATCTCCAAGGCTTCTTGAAGCTCTACAGGTACGTATTTCTATGTGGAATGCTTTGCAATTGAGTGAGCTCCAGGGATGCCAATAATGTCCATAGCCAGATGTTTGAATTTGTAGTGTTCATCACAAATGATAAAGGGGTTTCCTGATAAAAGAAAGGAGAGAAAAGGGAGACCAGCTTGGAGTTCCTAGCTTTGAGCACACATTGGGGTGGGCAAAGTGAGGCTCATTTGGCTAAAGGTGTCCAGAGTGGGTGGGGTTCTTTATTTCATCTAGAACCTGCAATTACATAGGACTGATAAAATTGTGGCAAACCCATTACAATAGTCAGAGAAAACATGGTTTAAGCCTTCAAGAGTGAAACAGGCTGTAACAGAATGACTTTTTTTTTTATTTTGACTAAAGACTTAACTTTGTCATTCTTTACTTAAAATGAGTTATTTACATTGTTTGTATAGGCAATTGAGAAATATAGTTGAGAAATAATAAGTTTTATATGTAAAACCCAGAAAATGTATGTGGTTAAAGCCTTTTATTTACATATAGTAAATATTTCTGTGTTCTAGCTGTGTTAAGCCAAAGATGTGTAACTAATATGGTGTGCATATGGCAAATGGGGTGGAGAAGGAAATAGTTTATGAATTTTAAAATCACTGTAATTAATAGAAGAAAATATACAAGCCATTTTCATGTAATCGAATACACATGAACAGTTTCCACTTGCATCATGGGTGTGGAACTAAAGGCAACATGGAATAGAAAGGAAGCCAATTTTAAAGATGTTTATTTTTTCAGCATATGAAGAACATGTGGAATTAACTATATAGAAAAATACATCTGAAAATTAAATGACTACGTCAACAAGTTAATATTCAACTCTTTAAGGGCAGAGAGAGTTGATTCCATTTTTCAATTATTAGTACTTCTAACAGTACTTGCTACACAGAACGCATTTAGTAAATTTTGAGAAAGGAAGAAAAAGTTTTTCTCATTCAAAGTTAAGAAAAGATTTACTTGAATCTGAGGAAGAACTAATCATTTTCAAAAAGTTGTAATAATCTGCAAATAAAAACCAGATCACTTTATAGAGTACAGTTGAATTACTCTTTTAATAAATATTTATACTTCACCTCCAATGTGCTGGAAAATATACCAAGGTTACGAGAGCTAAGAAGAGAAATAAGACATTCCTTGTCTTTAGGGAATATTTGATCAAATAGGGGAGATAAAATATACACAAAAAATGGTGACAAAGAGATAAAATGATACAAATATTTGCTATGTTGTATAAATGCTCAAGGGAGATGTTACCTTTTATTTTTTTTTAAGAGATAGGATCTCACTTTGTTGCCCAAGCTAGAGTGCAGTGGTATGATCATAGCTCACTGCAGCCTCCAACTCCTGGGTCAAGCGATCCTCCTGAGTTGCTGGGACTACAGGCATGAGCCATTGCACCTGGAGAGATAGATGTTAATTTTGGTTGGTGGAATTTATTGAATACCTATTACACGTTAGGCACATTAAACATCATTTCTTCTGTCACATGGTAGGCATTATTTTACCTGCCTCATAGATGAGAAAACTGAGGCTCAGAATGGTATGCCTGGGAAGAATTCAGAGTTGGCATTTTGTGATGAATACATGGTGGCCCATGCTCTTTTAATTACCACATGATGACTTTCAGGATCAGAGGAGGTTTATGCAGGAAGTACCACAGGTTGGGCATTGACAGGCCTTGAATCTGGTAGAGTCCTGTCCCATAAAGATTCAGCTGGGAGTAAGCCCTTGAGGCCATATCAGTCCTCTGTGACTGTCCTTCCCCGACTCCTCGCTGACCCATCCTAAACCAGATCAGGTAGAACCTGCTCTTGGGAATTCTCAATCTGAATTTTAAGGAATAGAAGTGGTCAACTCTCAATGTATGGGAGCCATGGGAAATACGTGCTGGGAACTCTCGTCTACCATGTCCTACAACACAGGGAAGACGCTGGACTACTGCAGAGAAAATGAAGCTGATATATCCGTAAGAGCAGAGATGAGAATGGAAATGAAAATGAGAGACAAAGTGCAAGAGAGCGCTGCTTTCACTTTTCCTAAGGCCCAATTGTAGCCCTTTCCTCCCTCTGCCAAGGGAAATATTCAAGAACCCTTGCAATTTCTTTGACTAACTTAGCTTGAGTTCTGCTGTGGATAGGCCGCCAAATCTAGCCATAAACTGGCCCCAAAACTGGCCATAAACAAAATCTCTGCAGCACTGTTATATGTTCGTGATGGCCGTGATACCCATGCTGAAGGTTGTGGGTTTACCAGAATGAGGGCAAGAAACACCTGGCCCACCCAGGGCAGAAAACCGTTTAAAGGTGTTCCTGAACCACAAACAGTAGCATGAGCCATCTGTGCCTTAAGGACATGTTCCTGCTGCAGATAACTAGCCAGAGCCCATCCCTTTATTTTGGCCCATCCCTTTGTTTCCCATAAGGAATTCTTTTAGTAAATCTATAATCTACAGAAACAATGCTTATCACTGGCTTGCTGTCAATAAATATGTGGGTAAAACTCTGTTCAGGGCTCTCAGCTCTGAAGGTTGTGAGACCCCTGATTTCCCACTCCACATCCTATATTTCTGTGTGTGTGTCTTTAATTTCTTTAGCACTGCTGGGTTAGGGTCTCCACGACTGAGCTGGTCTCGGCAGAGTTAGTTTTTTTATCTCTTGCAGCTAAAAAATGAGTAATATGATGAGGTGGTCTTTGAAGGCAATATAAATAATGTAAGCAAAAAAGCGGGGGAAGAAGGTCAGTGTGGGTTTCCCAGGAAGCAGAGCCTGAGGCAAATGTGCATGCACTGGCACTTCATAGGGAGTGCAGTCCTCAGGAGCAAGAGTGAGGGGAGTGGGACAGGAAGAGAAGGACGTGCAATGTGAGGACGTGTTATTCACTTGGCTGCCACTTGATGTTAGTTATAAAGGATTTTTCTCACTTCTGAGGGGAGGAATTTAGCCCCTGACTCCCATCACCTAATGGTCAAAGCTTTGTCTGGCGGGGCATGAATTCTCTGCTCTTCTGAGTTGCACCACATAATTGGTTGGGGTCCACATGACCAGCAACAACAGAGAAGCACTGAGCAGAAGTGAAATGTGTGATGCAGGCAGGAAGCAAGGTGCTGTTGAGTTGTGTCTGCATGGAATTGGTCAGAGTTCATTCAGAGTCTGTAATAATTAATCTTACCTACTTGACCTGTTGACATAAGAATTAAATGTTACTGCACGTAATGTACACAGGACACTGCAGAACAGCTAGTTATCCTTAGCATTCAGTAGATATTAACTATTGCTGCTGTTGTTACTGCTGCTATTGCTATTGCTACTACTACTACTATTACTGCCATTAGTATTATAGGTGTTAGAAAATAGTGATGATACCATAAGGGTATATAGGATGGGTTAGAATAGGGGAGAAATAGAGGTGGGGAGACCAGGTAAAGCCTGGAGCACACACCTGAGTGTATTGAATGAATTAATCAGAAAGCTATTGAAATAAGTTCAGGTAAGCAAATAATTAAAGCAGGTTGGTATATTTTTTAAAATCCCATGGTTCTCTTGCTCTTTTTTTTTTTTTAATTAAAAAACATGAATAGGCTTGGCATGGTGTCTCATGCCTGTAATCCTAGCACTTTGGGAGGCCAAGGAGGGAGGATCACTTGAACCCAGGAGTTTGAGACCAGCCTGGGGAACAAAGTGAGAATCTGTCCCCACAAAAAAATAAATAAATAAGTTAGCTAGGTGGTGGCCCGTGCCTATAATCCCAGCTACTTGGGAGGCTGAGGCAAGAGGATTACTTGAGCCCAGGAGTTCAAGGCAGCAGTGAGCTATAATTGTACTACTGTGCTGCAGCTTGGGCAACAGAGTAAAACCCTGTCTCTTACAGACAAAACAAAGCGAAACAAACCAAACAAAAGCCATGAATATAGAAAAATATTTATATACCAAAAGAAAAGCACTGCTAATATAAATAGCAATGGATTATTGGTTTTGATGTCAAGGGGATAATGAGGAGCACTAGGGACTGAGATAACCTGGGAAGCACATGCCCTGTGCAAAAGAATAACTGTTTCTTAGTGGCGGTTTACTAATGCCACATGAGAAACCAGGCCAAGTACTGCCAGATCTTCAGATTTCTCAAGAATGGCTAAAATCCTGAGATTTGTTGAAATCACTCACATTTTAAATATTGGCTGAAATTTTTCTAAAATATTACGTGAGTCAAAGACGACATATGTACCAGCCTCTTCTATCCTAAGCTTGTTGATTTGCAATCTCTGTGGGTAGTGGGGAGCGCCCAGAAGCCAGATCATAAGGCTGGGATGTCCCAGAGTACAGAATCCTATCTTAATGATTTGTATATTCAGTACTAATAGTACCTCACTGGCACAGGTATCAGTAAAAATCCTTCTCTTACAACCGAGGTGGGAGATAGGCATATGAACATATTGTTCATTTCTAAGAAAATAAAATATTTCATTGTTCGGCAAACAAGCTTTTTATGCTTCCCCATTTTTTCATGTTCATATGCCTATCTCCCACACTATGTTATTATTATTATCTTAATGATTTGTATATTCAGTACTAACATAGTGTGATAAATACACTGACAGATACGTCCAAGGTATTATGAAAGCGCAGCAGTAAATCACCTATTAAGAGAGCCGATGTCCAACCAGGACTTCTTGGAGGAGGTGACACTGCATTGCTAAGTAGTAACTTTAAAACTCCTAAAAAGGTTGACATGTATATTTTTCAATATTTGCTTTAACTGTCATTGCGAACACTTAAAACATATATTGAAAGTTGAAGAAACACGAGGTAATTCTGTATCCTGTTCAGTTTCATGCTATGATAACAGTAAATGCATTAGAGGTAGGAGAGCAGGAGGACTTGTATTCTGGTCACAACCCTGCTGACCAAAACAGGATCTGGTCCAGACAGGATAAAGTAAAGAAACCAACAGAAACCAGTAGATGGTAATGAAAATGATCCCTAGTGGCCCTTATAGCTCATTAGCATAAGACCAGCACCATGACAGTTTACAAATGCCATGGCAACAACCTGGAAGTTACTCCCCTTTCCTAGAAAGTTCTCAATAACCCACCTCTCAAATTGCACTAACCTGCCCCTTAATTTGCACATAATTAAAAGTGGGTATAAGTGGATATAAGCACAGTTGCCAGCAGCCCATACATTGCCAACTCTGGGCACACTGCCTGTGAGTTAGCCCTGCTCCACAAGGAGCAGAACCATTCAATAAAAGATTGCTGTCTACCCACTGCCTCATCCTGGAATCCTTTCCTGGGTATGCCAAGAACTCTCTTGGGCTAAGTCCCAATTTTGGGGCTCACCTGTCCTGTATCACATTAATATTTCCTCTTAAGAGTGAAAATGGGGAAGCATAAAAGGCTTCTTTGCTGAACAATGAAATATTTTATTTTCTTAGAAAATAACCACGTCAGCTTGGCGCAGTGGCTCACACCTGTAATCCCAGCACTTTGGGAGGCCGGGGAGGGCAGATCACTTGAGCCCAGGAGTTCAAGACCAGTCTGGGCAACATGGCACATGCCTGTAATCCCAGCTACTCCAGAGACAGAGGCATAAGTAGACACAGGATTTTGCCATGTTGGCGAGGCTGGTTTCAAACTCCTGGGTCTGGGCCAGGCTAGTCGCGAACTCCTGTAATCCCAGCTACTCCAGAGGCTGAGGCAGGAGGATTACTTGAGCCCAGAAGTTCAGGACTGCAGTGAGCTATAATTGTACCACTGTACTACAGCTTCGGCAACAGAGTAAGGCTCTTCTGTTAAAACCGAAACAAAACAAAGTGAAACAAGCCAAACAAAAACCACGAATATAGAAAAATACTTATATGCCAAAAGAAAACCACTGTTAATATAAGTAGCAATGGATTTTTGGTTTTGATATCAGGGAGATAATGAGAAGCTCTAAGGGACTGAGTGCTGAAACTCCTGGCCTTGAGTGATCCGCCTGCCTTGGCCTCCCAAAGTGCTGGGATTACAGGCGTGAGCCACCATGCACAGCCTAGTACATTATTTTTAAAAGACACAGATTTTATCTTTGGGAGCCAATAGAAAACTTTTATATGCACATTTCAACAGTAAAATAATTTTTAGGAACACCTTTGAAAATCTTTCAAATGTATGGTTGCATTTGAAAATCTTCAAGATTGGGGGGACGTAAAATTCTATTTCTCTTTTTTTTTTCTGAAAAAGGTCATATTTTGTTCTTGATACAGATATATCAGGTTAAGAAGGAACTTAAATAAATGTGTAATCACAAGCACCAAATTAGTTTAATTAGCACTTTATCAATCACTAATGTGAGCAACATGGAGGACCTCAAATGGAAGGATTGCACTGTTTTGAAAGAGCCAGTCACTATAGTACATTATTTTTGAGTCTGGAGGAGTTTTTATTTTGGGCCTTTTTACTTTTAATAAAAGATGTAAGAGAGCAACATTTTAGGAGGAAATACCTCTATGGGGAGACACAATCTTCAGGAATGGGAGACTGACTGCTTAGCGTACCTCAGCCACTCACATAATTCTGCTTCAAAGGCTAGTTCCTGGTCCGTAAAATATATAATTTTGGCTTCGGCCAATTCATAATTTATACTAAGCCAGATGGGACATGGGGTAAAATTTATTTTTGAACCATTTAAAAGGGGGTGAAAATATTTTAAAGCAGCTTAATGTTATACGTGAGTCTGCAGATGAGATGTTTAAGATGATAAAAAAGGAACAAGCTGTTCTCAAACACTTTAGAAGTATGGACTTGAATAAACAGATGAGCTATGTGCAAATGACTTAAACCTATTCTAAACCCTGTTCTATTTGTTATGAATCTGAAAGGTTATTCAGTAGCATTCTAGTTTTACCACCTTAAACATATTTATTTGAAAATACTTTGCTCAAAATGTCACTAGTAAATAAAATTACTTTTCTTAGACCACTGTATAATTCCTATTGTTCTTTCCAGAAAAAAATCTAAATCAGCATTTTTCAAAATAATATCTGTAAATTATTTTGAGTAGCTTTCTTTATCTTTTCATTAGATTTTTACCTCTTTCTAAATGTATAGTTTCGAGAATTAAAAAAAAAAAAATACCTTGGGTTTGGCCCAACAGCACCTGACAAACTGACAGGTGGAATAGAGAGTGTGGAGCTGGGGTTAGAACTGATGCTTGGCCTGTGAACAGACTTAGCCACATGGACTGATGGTATCGATTCGACAAGCAAGTCAGGGTAGACAAAACAGTATGGTAAAAGAAAATGGAAGCACTGGGGCTTCAAGAGGGCATCCTGGGAGATTTGTGGGGCAGAGTCAAGAGGAAATCAAGTGATGTTTGATGGTCAAAAGCCCAGACAGTTGCCTTTAGGAAAGTTAGCCAATAGACCCAGGACCAGATCCTTAGCAGAGGGTTGGAAAGAACAAGATAAGATCCAGTGCTAAATAGCATGAGTAACAAGGCAGATAACTAAGACAAAAAGCTAAAGAAACAGAATGAAAGACAATAAGCATATTACCCCATACCGACGTTTGGGGTATGGTCGATCCCATCTCCCAGGTCGTGAACATAGTATCCATTACTCGGTTTTTCAAACCTTGACCCCCTCCTGCTGTCCTTCCTCTAGTAGTCCCATAGTGAATGTCAGGACTTTTACTAAGATGGCTGCAATGCAGATGCTCTCTTCCTTCTTTGGCACTATTGCAGCCAGTTTTGATACCATGAGGGAAACCATTTTAAGGAAAAGGCTGACAGAAGAAGATGGGCAGAACTGGAAATTTGCAGAGAAATGAAGACAAAACTCTAAGGATATAGTAAACCTTGGCTTGTGTGATGCCTAAGAACAGCATTACCTCTGGACTTTTTAGTTGCCTGGACCAATGCACTTGCTCTTTGTCGCAACCATTTGGGTTGGAAAACAATGGATACATTAGCTGTTGGCCAGGGATGATGAATAAACTCAGTTGTTAGAAGATGATTCACAGTGGGCACCCAAGTCTCAGGATTAAGACCAAAGCCTTGTTGTGATTTGTGAGACTTGAGGTCAGAGATAATCTCCTTCTGAATCCCAAAGTACTGGGCAAGAATTATTTAAATTTCTTTTGCTGAAGATTAGAATTTGTGCTATAATTTTCAGTGAAATTTGAATCTGCAGATGGACAACAAATTGGATGAGAGAAAGATGAGCTAAGAGACAAGCTGGGCCTGAATTCATTTATAACACTCCCAAATTTGATTTATTCTTAGAATTGGGAACAAAGGTTTTGGGTGGGACCCAAACTCTAATTTTATAATGTATGGCAAAGGAAAATATAACTACACATAAATAAATAAATAGTTAAAAATATTTTTCCACTGGAAAAAAGAACATTTCTTTTTATGAACCTGAATGGATAATTCATTCCCTCTGCTCTTTCATCTTTTTTAAAGAATAATTTTAACTTTTATTTTAGATTCAGGGGGTACATGTGCAGGTTTGTTACATGGGTATATTGTATGATACTGAGGTTCGGGGTATGATTGATCCCATCTCCCAGGTAATGAGCACAGTACCCATTACTTGGTTTTTCAATCCTTGATCCCCTCTTTCTGTCCTCCCTCTAGTAGTCACTAGTGTCTATTGTTGCCATCTTTATGTCCAGCAATACCCAGTGTTTAGCTCCCACTTATTTGTGAGAATATCTGGTATTTGGTTTTCTGTTCCTGCATTAATTTGCTTGGGATAATGGCCTCTAGCTGCATCCATGTTGCTGCAAGAGACGTGATTTTATTCTTTTTTATAGCTACACAATATTCCATGGTGCCTATGTGCCAAATTTTCTTTATCCAATCCATCGTTGATAGGTACCTAGATTGATTCCATGCCTTTGCTATTTTTTATTTTATTTTATTTTATTTTATTATTTTTTGAGACAGAGTCTGGCTCCGTCACCCGGGCTAGAGTGCAATGGCACGATTGCAGCTCACCGCAACCTCCGCCTCCCGAGTTCAAGCGATTCTCCTGCCTCAGACTCCCAAGTAGCTGGGATTACAGGCATATGCTACCACACCGGCTAATTTTGTATTTTTAGTAGAGACGGGGTTTCTCCATGTTGGTCAAGCTGGTCTCCAACTCCCGACCTTAGGTGATCTGCCCACCTCGGCCTCCCAAAGTGCTGGGATTACAGGCATAAGCCAACACGCACAGCCACCTTTGCTATTGTTAATAGTGCTGTGATGAATATATGAGTGCATATGTCTTTTTGGTAGACAGTTTATTTTCTTTTGGATATATACCCAGTAATGGGATTGTTGGGTCAAATGGTAGTTCTGTTTTAATGTTTTTGAGAAATCTCCAAACTGCTTTCCATAATGGCTGAAGTAATTTACACTCCCACCAACAGTGTGTAAGTGTTCCCTTTACTCTGTAGCCTTGCGAGCATCTGTTCTCTTTGACTTTTTAATAATAGCCATTCTGACTTGTGTGAGATGGAATCTCATTGTGGTTTTGAATCGCATTTCTCTGATGGTTAGTGATGTGGATATGTTTGTTGATTGCTTGTATGTCTTATTTTAAGAAGTGTCTGTTCATATCTTTTGCCCACTGTGTCAGTCAGGGTTCTCCAGAGGGACAGAGCTAATAGGATATATGTGTGTGGAGGGGGGGTATATATATGTATATATCCTATAGGAGTTTATTAGAGAGAATTGACTCACACAATTACAAGATGAAGTCCCATGATAGGCCATCTGCAAGCCGGGAAAGAGAGAAGCTGGTAGTGGCTCAGTCTGAATCCGAAAGCCTCAAAATCAGGGAAGCCAACAATGCCACTCCTGGCAAGTCATGGTGCAAGTCCCAGAGTCCAAAGGCTGAAGAACCTGCCTTCTGATGTTTAAGGGCAGGAGGAGCAGAAGGAAGCATCCAGCACGGGATAAAGAAGTAAGCCAGAAGTCTCAGCAAGAAAGGCCATCCCACATTCTTCCACCTGCTTTGTTCTAGCTGCACTGGCAGCCAATTAGATGGTACTCAACTTCATTGAGGGTGGATCTTCTGTTCCCAGTCTGCCGACTCAAATGTCAGTCTCCTCTAGCAACACCCTCACAGACACACCCAGAAACAATATTTCACCAGCCATCTGGGTATCTTTCAACCCAATCAAATCGACACCTACTAGTAACCATGACACCACTTTTTAATGATGTTATTTCTTTTTTGCTTGTTCAATTGCTTAAGTTCTTTATAGATTCTGGATATTAGACCTTTATCAGATGCATAGTTTTGAATATTTTCTCCCATTCTGTAGGTTGTTTGTTCACTCTGTTGATAGTTTCTTTTGCTGTGCAGAAGTTCTTTCATTTAATTAGGTCCCATTTGTCAATTTTTGGTTTTGTTCTAATTGCTTTTGAGGACTTAGTCATAAATTCTTTGCCAAGGCCAATGTCCAGAATGGTGTTTCCTAGGTTTTCTTCTAGGATTCTTATAGTTTGAGATCTTACATTTAAATCTTTAATCCATCTTGATTTAATTTTTATATATGGCAAAAGGCAGGAGTCCAGTTTCATTCTTCTGCATATGGCTAGCCAGCTACCCCAGCACTATTTATTGAGTAGGGAGTCCTTTCCCCATGACTTGTTTTTGGTGACTTTGTCAAAGATTAGATGGCTGTAGGTGTGTGGCTTTATTTCTGGGTTCACTATTCTGTTACATTGATTTATGTGTCTGTTTCTGTACCAGTACTATGCTGTTTTAGTTATTGTAGTTTTACAGTATAGTTTGAAGTTGGGTAATGAGATGCCTCCAGCTTTTTTTATTTTTGTTTAGGATTGCTTTGGCTATTCAGGCTCTTTTTTGGTTCCACATGAATTTTAGAATAGTTTCTTTTATCTGATTCTGTGAAAAATGATGTTGGTAGTTTGATGGGAATAGCTTTGAACCTGTATATTTATTTGGGCAGTATGGCCATTTTAATGATATTGATTATTTTAATCCATGGACATGGAATGTTTTTCCATTTGTTTGTGCCATCTATGATCCCTCTGAGCAGTACTGTGGTTCTTTTTGTAGAGATTTTTCACCTCCTTAGTTAGCTGTATTCTTGGGTATTTTATTTTTTTTCATGTGGCTATTGTAAATGGGATTGTGTTCTTGATTTGGCTTTCAGCCTGAATATTATTGGTTTATAGAAATGTTACTGATTTTTGTACATTGATTTTGTATCCTGAAACTATACTGAAGTAGTTTATTCCAGGATCCTTTTGGCAGAATCTTTTAGGTTCTCTAGTTATAGAATCATATCATCCGTGAAGAGAGGTAGTTTGAATTTTTATTTTCCTATTTGGTTGCCCTGTATTTCTTTCTCTTGCCTGATTGCTCTGGCTAGCACTTCTGGAACTATTTCGAAAAGGAGTGGTGAGACTGGGCACTCTTGTCTTAGTCTAGTTCTCAAAGGGAATGGTTCCAGCTCTTGCCCATTTAGTATGATATTGGCTGTGGGCTTGTCATAGATGACTGTTATTATTTTGAGGTATTTTCCATCAATGCCCAGTTTGTTGAGGGTTTTTATCATGAGGAGGTCTTGGGTTTTATTAAAAGCTTTTTTCATGTCTATTGAAATGATCATGTGGTTTTTGTCTTCAATTCTGTTTATGTGGTGAATTAAATTTATTGATTTGTGTATGTTGAACTAACCTTGCATCCCAGGAATGATGCCTACTTGATCATGGTGAATTAACTTTTTGATGTGCTGCTAGATTGGGTTTGCTGGTATTTTGTTGAGGATTTCTGTGTCTATGTTAATCAGGGATTGGCCTCTCATTTTCTTTCTTTGTTGTATCTTTGCCAGGTTTTAGTATCTGGGTGATGCTGACTTCATAGAATGAGTTATGAAGGAGTTCTTCCTCCTCAATTTTTTGAAAAAGTTTCAGTAGAATTGGTACCAGCTCTTCTTTGTACATCTTGTAGAATTCAGCTGTGTATCCATCTGGTCTGAGGCTTTTTTTTGGTTGGCAGAATTTTTATTATTGATTGAATTTCAGAACTCAATATTGTTCTGATTAAGTTTTCAATTTCCTCCTGGTTAAATCTTGGGAGGTTGTTCATTTCCAGAAATTTTTTCATTTTTCTCTAGATTTTCTAGTTTCTGTGCATAGAGGTGTTCATAACAGACTCTGAAGAGAATCATTGTAATGTCATCTATGTCGTTTCTGATTATGCTTATTTGGATCTTCTCTCTTTTTCTTTGTTAATCTAGCTAGCAGTCTATCAACCTTGTTTATTTTTTCAAATAACCAACTTTTGATTTCATTGATTCTTTGTATGGATAGTTTGTTGATTCTTTGTATGGGTCTCAACTTCATTAAATTCTACTCTAATTTTAGTTAATTATTTTCTTCTACTAGCTTTGGGGTTAGTTTGTCCGTGTTTTTCTAGTTTCTCTAGGTGTGATTAGATCATTAATTTGAGACCTTCCTAACTTTCTGAGGTAGGTATTTAGCCCTATAAACTTTCCTCTTAGCACTGCTTTTGGTGCATCCTAGAAATTTTGGTATGCTGTGTCTCTGTTTTCATTTATTTCAAATAATTTTTTGATTTCTGCCTTAATTTTCTTGTTTGCCCAAAAGTCATTCAGGAGCAAGTTGTTTAATTTCCAGGTAATTGAGTGGTTTTGAGAAATCTCCTTTGCATTGATTTCTATTTTTATTATGTGATCTGAGAGTTAAATTTCTTTTCTAGCCAATACCTTTATTAACTGAATTAAACCTATATAATCAGCCATTCTCCTTATCTTAATTGGCGCCAAGAATGCCAATGAGAATAATATGATAGTAATTATAATTAGAGGTTAAATTTCTTTTCTATCATCTCCAAAGAGACTATACCTATATTGTTTAGTGTTATATTCCCAGTGTATAATGCAGTTATTATTTGGAAAATTGAGTGGATAAGTTGGTTGTCTTTCTGTGGGCTCCCCACAAAGCTGGCCTTGACATAAGGACTTGGGTGTTGGTGGTTTATTTAAGATGTAAATTCAGGCAGCCAAGTGAGGTAATATGGAAGAGAGACAGGAAAAGAAAAAGAACCAATAAAAAGTATAAATAAACCAGCTATCTTTGTAGGCAATTGGAATTCAATCGCACTAGAGACATTCTAAGAAAGCATATTGAACATACCTCAGAATTGTCCCACTGGACAATGAGAAGGTTAGGATTTTACCTACCAATTCACACTCTTCTCTGAATGAGGATTGACTCTATCCCTGGTAGTTAATTCACTCATGCTTTGTCATGAGTCTCTGTGATGGCGCAAGCTTTCACAGTGTAGAGAAAACCCTCAGGCAGATAAATGAGTAGAAGCAGGAACTCAAGAGGGGAAGCTACCAGTGTGCCAGAAACCATCTACCACAGTGACAGGTGAACTCAGAGCTGGATCAAGAGGATATGGAGTGGACACCAAAAGCATCTGCCACACTGCTTATCAACATCTGTTGTTTTTATCTGGCCATTATCTCTCACCCACATCTTTGGGTCATGGCATCTCCCTTTCATTTGGTGAACTGTTAGTCCTCTACTCCATGCATTTCATGTGTGTCTGCCAATCAAGAACTGCTTGATTCTGTCATACTGCCATAGAATTTTATATGTGGACACTGGAAGAGAGAATATGTCTCTTTTCTCTTAGTGAACTGACTAGAATAATACAAACCTGGAGCTGTCTACAGCCATCCTTTTCCTTCCAATGCTGCAAGGAGAAAGCCATCTATAGTAGGAGAAAATAAAGTCAATATATACAAAGATAAGCAAAATCAAGGAATGGAGAGAACCACATAGACAAGGTTGGGTTCTTAAATGCAATCATTCTCTAAGGCCGATCTAATCCTGTCAGGTAGGTACCGTTGACCTATTGAGTCTCATGAGGAAATTAATTTTTACTCTACCCTCCCCCCACCTAATTTTTTTCTTTGCATATGCCAAACTGAATTCTGTCACAACCAAAAAAGCATTAATTAATACACTTCGTTAAATATATATATTTATTCCAGAATGTGACACGTTGTGACATGCAGTGATATGGTTTAGATCTGTGTCCCACCAAATCTCATATTGAATTCTAATCCCCAGTGTTGGAGGTGGAGCTTGGTGGAAGGTGATTGGATCATGTGAGCGGAGTTCTCATGAATGGCTTAGGAGTGAGTTATCGTGAGATCTGGTTGTTTAAAAGTATGTAGCACCTCTTTCTTCTCTCCTTGGTCCTGCTCCTGCCTTGTAAGACACCTGCTCCTGCTTGCTTTGTCTTCCACCACAAGTAAAAGCTCCCTAAGGCCTCCCCAGAAGCAAATGCTGCCATGCTTACTGTATAGCCTGAGGAACCAGGAACCAATGAAAACCTCTTTTCTTTATAAATCTCCATTCTCATGTATTTCTTTATAGCAGTGTAAGAATGGACTAATACATGCAGCAACCACTATTTTTTAGGAGGTTGAGAATCCTGAAATGAACCACACATACCTCATGTACATGAATGGAAACTTAACAGCTGGGAAGAAAATAATTATCTCTGCACTAGGAATAGAAGAAAAATGATGCAAATCTTGTGTGGTCTATAGAAGAACAAAATATCTTTCAAAGGCCCTGAGTCTAGTGCATAGAAAGGTGGGTTTTATACCCAAGTTTTATTTTGGACATCAAAGCACACATGGATTTTGGCAGAAAGGGTCCATCAGGGAAAGCTTTGTATCAGCAATGTGACCTTGGCTTTTGTGTGTTCCTTTAAAGATTGTCTGTAACGCTGTTTTACTGTGTATTATTTTAGTAAGTAGTACTTTGTAATGACATCTTAAAGACTTCAGCTCTTTTCCTCTTCTTTTTTTGCATCAGTTACTAGAAACAAGTTTAAGAAATAAACAGCTTGATAACATCGTTATCTACCTTAAAAGGTATTTTTTTCTTTCTTTTCTTTTGTTAAACAGAAAATTCTTATACTTCTCCCAATCTGCTCCTATAAAACTGTTTATTTACAGCTTTTGTGTTCGACACTTTTGTGACACTTATTCAAATGGAAAAAAAAAACAGCTTCAACTAATCTGTATTTACATACATCATCCAGGATGTGTTTTCTTTTTTTCTTTTAATTATATTTAAGTTTTAGGGTACATGTGCACAACGTGCAGGTTTGTTACATATGTATACATGTGCCATGTTGGTGTGCTGCACCCATTAACTTGTCATTTAACATTAGCTATATCTCCTAATGCTATCCCTCCCCGCTTCCCCCACCCCACAATAGGCCCTGGTGCGTGATGTTCCCCTTCGTGTGTCCATGTGTTCTCATTGTTCAGTTCCCACCTATGAGTGGAACATGCGGTGTTTGGTTTTTTGTCCTTGCGATAGTTTGCTGAGAATGATGGTTTCCAGCTTCATCCATGTCCCTACAAAGGACATGAACTTATCCTTTTTTATGGCTGCATCGTATTCCACGGTGTATATGTGCCACATTTTCTTAATCCAGTCTATCATTGTTGGACATTTGGGTTGGTTCCAGGTCTTTGCTATTGTGAATAGTGCCACAATAAACATACGTGCGCATGTGTCTTTATAGCGGCATGTTTTATAATCCTTTGGGTATATACCCAGTAATGGGATGGCTGGGTCAAATGGTATTTCTAGTTCTAGATCCCTGAGGAATCGCCACACTGGCTTCCACAATGGTTGAACTAGTTTACAGTCCCACCAACAGTGTAAAAGTGTTCCTATTTCTCCGCATCCTCTCCAGCACCTGTTGTTTCCTGACTTTTTAATGATCGCCATTCTAACTGGTGTGAGATGGTATCTCATTGTGATTTTGATTTGCATTTCTCTGATGGCCAGTGATGATGAGCATTTTTTCATGTGTCTTTTGGCTGCATAAATGTCTTCTTTTGAGAAGTGTCTGTTCATATCCTTCGCCCACTTGTTGATGGGGTTGTTTGTTTTCAGGATGTGTTTTCATGTAAAAATAGCAAATCCGTTTTTTTGAGAAACATTTAAAAATTGACTTATGCAAGCTTCTGATCAGTGTTTAATAGAATTAAACACATTTCGAGTAGTTTATGTTGAGCAAGGATTGTGGTAGACCCAAAATATTAGGTGAGTGCAAAAGTAATTACGGTTTTTGCGTTGTTAGAATTTGTCATTTGATAAAGGAATTCATTCTTAAATATATGGGAATTATGGCTATTTTTTGCTAATAACTTATTACTTGCTGTTTATTTTATGTTTATTTTAGACTATGGAAATGATGTTAGACAAAAAGCAAATTCAGTTTGAGAAATAAAGGGGCAGAGTACAAAAGAGAGAAATCGTAAAGCTGGGCATCCGGGGGAGACATCACATGTCAGTAGGTTCCGTGATGCCCCACAAGCCACAAAACCAGCTAGTTTTTATTAGTGATTTTCGAAAGGGAAGGAGTGCACAAATAGGGTGTGGGTCACAGAGATCATGTGCTTCACAAGGTAATAGAATATCACAAGGCAAATGGAGGCAGGGCGAGATCACAGGACCACAGGATGAGGGTGAAATTAAAATTGCTAATGAAGTTTCTACACGCGTTGTCAGTGATAACATCTTATCAGGAGACAGGGTTTGAGAGCAGACATCCGGTCTGACAAAAATTTATTAGGTGGGAATTTCCTCGTCCTAATAAGTCTGGGAGTGCTATGGGAGACTGGGGCTTATTTCATCCCTACAGCTGGACCATAAAAGACAGCCGCACCGAAGGGGGGCATTTTAGAGGCCCACCCTCAGGGACGCATTCTCTTTCTCAGGGATGTTCCTTGCTGAGAAAAAGAATTCAGCGATATTTCTCCCATTTACTTTTGAAAAGAAGAGAAATATGGCTCTGTTCTGCCTGGCTCACTGGTGGTCAGAGTTTAAGGTTATCTCTCTTGTTCCCTGAACATTGCTGTTATCCTGTTCTTTTTTCAAGGTGCCCAGATTTCATATTGTTCAAACACACATGTTCTACAAACAATTTGTGCAGTTAACACAATCATCACAGGGTGCTGAGGTGACATACATCCTCCTCAGTTTACGAAAATGACAGGATTAAGAGATTAAAGTAAAGACAGGCATAAGAAATCCCAAGGGTATTGATTGGGGAAGTGATAAGTGTCCATGAAATCTTCACAATTTATGTTCAGAGATTGCAGTAAAGACAGGCGTAAGAAATTATAAAAGTATTAATTTGGGGATCTAATAAATGTCCATGAAATCTTCACAATCCACGTTCTTCTGCCATGGCTTCAGCCGGTCCCTTCATTTGGGGTCCCTGACTTCCCGCAACAACAAAAAGCAAATTCAAGCGATTTTCTTATTCAAGTTCAAAATGGGTCATAAAGCAGTGGAGACAACTTGCAACATCAACATCACATTTGGCCCAGGAATTGCTAACAAATACACAGTGCAGTGGTGGTTCAAGAAGTTTAGTAAAAGAGACGAGAGCCTTGAAGATGAAGAGCATAGTGGCTGGCCGTAGGAAGTTGACAACGACCAATTGAGAGCAATAATCGAAGCGGATCCTCTTACAACTACAGGAGAAGTGCCTGAAGAATTCAGTGTTGAGCATTCTACCATCATTTGGCATTTGAAGGAAATTAGGTGAAAAACCTCAATAAATGGATGCCCCATGAGCTGACCAAAAATTTTTAAAAATCGTCATTTTGAAGTGTCATCTTCTCTTATTCTACACAGCAGCAATGAACCATTTCTCAATCGGATTATGACGTGCGACGAAAGTAGATTTTATACGACAACCAGCAATGATCAGTTCAGTGGTTGGACCAAGAAGAAGCTTCAAAGCACTTCCCAACACCAAACTTTTACCAAAGAAGGGTCATGGTCACTGTTTGGTGGTCTGCTGCCGGTCTGATTCACTACAGCTTTCTGAATCCTGGTGGAACCATTACATCTGAGAAGTATGCTCAGCAAATTGATGAGATGCACCAAAAACTGCAAAGCCTGCAGCTAGCATTGGTCAACAGAAAGGGCCCAATTTTTCTCCAGGACAACGCCTGACCATACATTGGCACAATGAATGCTTCAAAAGTTGAATAAATTGGGCTACGAAATTTTGCCTCATGTGCCATATTCACCTGACCTTTCTCCAACCACTTCTTCAAGCATCTTGACAACATTTTTCAGGGAGAACGCTTCCACAACCAGCAGGATGCAGAAAATGCTTTCCAAGAGTTTGTTGAATCCCTAAGCATGGATTTTTATGCTACAGGAATAAACAAACTTATTTCTCATTGGCAAAAATGTTTTAATTGTAATGGTTTGTATTTTCATTAATAAAGATGTGTTTGAGCCTAGTTATAATAATTTAAAATTCAGGGTCTGAAACCGCGACTACTTTTGCACCAACTATCAGGATTCATGTCCGGGTCTCACATAAAGCCTGGCAGATGATCCTTCTTACTAGAGTAGTTCTGCCAAGAAATTACTGTGAAACTCAACTGTCTCTAGGCTGTTCTGAGAAGAGAGACCTGGACCCATGGGTTGATCCCAGGGAAACACTAGCCATGAATGAGTTGGGCCCGGGTAGGGGCGTAGGAGAAAGTTCGCCCAGAACCACTGAGGCCAGTCAGTTGGAGGGAAAGCACAAGTAACAGAAGGAAAGGAATGGTCATAGTAGCACTGAGTATCAGATCTAGAGGAGCTTAGGGCAGAAAACAGAAAATAAGGCATCTGAGAGCAGGGAAGATTGAAAAACGTTGGATCAAAGGAGTGTCAGCTGTGTCAGCAGTGAGAGGGTTGAAGGCCCACTTTTCTGGGGTGCTAGCAGGAGTGTCTGGTAGTTCCCAAGAGCTACTCAGAACCAGACATTATTCACAGTCAAAATAAATGCAAATCAAAGCAGTGGAGGTAATCTGCCCATTTACTTACCATATGCCAAATAATTTGTTAGATTAAATTGTTTGTCCCAATGTGGTTGTACCTATTTACATTCCTATTTGTCAAAGATGGAAATTGCAGTTGCTCCTCATCTTCACCTGTAGTTTCTATCATTGGTCTTTTGTATTTTAAGATAATCATTATTTAAAAACATATCCTGTTTACCTCATGGGGAGCAGGGTTGAGAACCAATTTTCTATGCTTTGAGAGAATCATAGTAGACAGATTAGACAGATGAGAATAAAAACAGACATTTAGAAGAGGCATGTGAGAAAATTAGCCTCTTTGTGTTAATAATCCTCATCTGTGAAATTAAGATAATAACCTCATAAGGTTATTGTGAAGATTTGAATGTGTGAAAACATGCAAAGCACATTGTGTTTGCAATGTCAACTATTATTACATCTTCACCATAGAGTCAATCAAATAGTGAACAAACATTCCTCGGTACAATCTTCCATAGATTGTGCTAGGCTTCCCTAAACACTCTGACACTCTACAGTATATCCAGTCACTCATTCATTTATCAGGTGTGAAGATCATAAGAGGCACTTTTTCAGTCATTATGTGACAATGCCAGACCAAAAAAAAATTATGAAAAAAAAGTTTGACTAGGAGATAGGAATAAATGAAGATGGGTCATCTTCTTTATAATTTCCATCATATAAATATCTTCACAAATATTATGAGTAGGTAATGATACTACTTTTTTCTCAAATTTGAACTGTTGGCTTAAGAGAAGCCTAAGAAATATAATGGAGAAAGTAAAATTTAAAAATCACTTATCATTGTACACATACACATAAAATAATTTCTACCAATTCATACAATCTCAGAAATGTTATAATTTCAGAAGACGAGATGGCAGATGCTATCAGTGGGGTCAGTGTAAACTTAATGTTAGCTTCATGAAAACACATTGTTTCATACCAACACAAAAAATATAACTCCAAATGTATTTATAATTAAAAGCAACAACTGAGCATTCACACCAAGTGTGCCATCTTTTACTTTTAAAATAGTACTTATAAGCAAGAATAGCATATTTTGTTTGTGGCTATTTAGGACTCAGCTCAAGTACATAAGTTTGAGGAAAGGTTGTGAATAAGCCTACAGTTTTTATTTATCAACCACCGTATAACCAAGACAAAGCATCTTTGGATGTACAAGAGTCAAATGTGTATTGCAAACTTTTTACACTCGTCATTTAAATATTATCTTATACAAATTTGAACAATATGTAATATTATAGCAAAGAAAAACACATCCGGAAACACTAGCACTATTATGTTTTAGTGTTCATGTTTGAATGTTTAATAAACTTTAAAAGTTTAGATTTCTCATTAGAATTCTCATTGGCTAACTGGGTTGCTCAGTTAGATTCAGATACAATCAGATTCAGAGTTCTCAGTCACCTTAAGCCCATCAGCATATTAGCCCAGATAGGTACAGATGAATTCAGATCAATAAGATTATGTTCTGGGATTCCAGTTCTGGTAAGCAGATTTTCTCTTTTCTACTGAAAACATGTAGCCTGGACACCTTCTTGAGACTTCAAGGAGAATGCCTGTTGGGAATGGAGCCATTGCTAAGGAAATATTGCTGAGGAACAAGAGGAAGCAACTATGTTCTAGTCACATTGTATGAACCATTGGATCAATCTTCTGAAACTGTACCTCCTTTTGGACTTTTCAGTTACATGAATCAATAAGTTCTCTGTATGGTTCAATCCAGTTTGAGTTGGTGTTTTAGGTACTTGCAACCAGTTATGCTGACCAATATACCGAGCTACTGGCAGTTCCATTTTTACGGAACTCTAAACTCCATGAGGGAGATGGTAAGGATCTGTTCTTGTATGTAGTCTCAGTTCTTTCATGAAACCACTACTTCTATAATGTGAAATGTCATATGGATAGACCACTGGGCTTGGTGACAGAGGAAGTAGAGTTCGGTCTTGGTTCTGACATGTTTTTGACCGTTAATTCAGTAATTCATTTAATCTCAGTTTATCTATAAAGTGAAGAAGTAGGCCTTTAGTTTGTTTACATATCTGCGTTATCTATCTAGCTATCAAAGAGCTCTTTTTCAGAAGAAATCTTATGTAGAACTCAACAAATAAACCATGTACAATTGTGAGTTATAAGAAAGGCAATTTTTTTTCTCATTCCTGTGTCCTTAGCATAACCATAAACCTGGTGAAATGTATATACTCAGCAAGTAGTTGCTGAATGAAGGAATAAAAGCAAAGTTCCTCTGTTGGAGAGATGACATGGAAGCTGGGTCCCCACTGGCTTGGCCTTCCCCTCACCACCTTACCCACCCTTGAGGTCCCACTAAGAAACTCGAGGGCTTGGCAGATTCCAAGCTGAAAGCCAATGACCAAGTCATCTCTAAGGCCCTTCCAGTTCTAACATTGTGTAGTCCAATTTAGTGATTCCCAGCTATGACAGTGGAAGAGTGCAGGTTGATTATGTCATCAGAATTATGAGACTTTTCAAATAATTGTTCCCACTCTACTGAGACTCTCTTTCTGTCACCTCAATCAATGAACTATTTCTATTAATTAACCATGTACTAGTTTCATTAATGACAATTTGATGAATCATTTTAAAAAGAGCCTCCCATGCCCAGGCACTGCGCACGGGCTAGTGGTCGACCGCTAAACAAACAAGACAGAGTGACAGACATGATCCTGATACAGCTCCAATGAGTGGAGGAACACCAGGTTCTTCCTCTCGAGTCGAATTAGAAAAACCAACACGGACACACGTGGAGTAGTTTTAAGGAGCAGGGAGTTTAATAGGCAAGAAAGAAGGGGGAAGAAAGAAAGAAGCAGCTCCCCTGCGCAGAGACAGAGGGAGGGAGGCTCCAAAGTCAAGAGACAGACAGAACCCTGCTTTCAGGTAATATCAACCAGCTGTATTCCATGGCTGGAGGAGGTGGTGTCTGATTTGCATAGGGCTCAGGGGATTGGTTTGACCAGGCATGTCATTCACGTAGCCCACAAAAAACTGGCCCTCCCAGCCTAGCCTTTTAATATGCAAATTCAAGGCGCCATGATGTTCCACACACGCAGGGATATGTGGGGGCGACCATGCTTCCAGGCACATGTGGGGCAAGGGCAAGAAGGGCACGGGAATTGCAATGTTGGGTGGACCCAGTTTCTAATGGCCTGCATTTGCATATCAAAGTTTGCCGGCCTGGTTCTAAGAGCCAGGGCTTTACAAGAAACTTTTCTGGGGATGCTTTAAAAATTAAAACTTCCCAAGGACCCCTTTTCCTCTCTATCTGCCTAAAATAATTTCTTAGTAACTCCTACAACAATCCCATTCTCTTGGAGCTTCCTTGGTTGAATATTATGTCTGGGAGCTGTCAAAATCTTGATGCTTTAGGTCCCACCCCCAGATAATCTTATTTCAAAATTAAAAAGTATGAAATTATGACAGGTACTGTTGTTTGTTGAATGATAGCTAACTGAAGAAATTAGTACTTGTAAAAAGGCTTACGTGGAACATGCTGAGTTCTCTACGTCTGAGGCAGTCAAGAGAAATTGGGCAACTACTCTATAGCTATATCTGTCTCTGTGTATATATATATATACACAGAGAGAGAGGAGTCAGTCATCAGGAGGTGGTTTTATAAGTCTGAGCTTATCAGAATGTGTGAAGTTAACACACCGTCACTCTTCATAATGCAATATTCTATGGGCTTTCAGGGGATAGCTTCATGAAAATGAGGAGATATCTGGGGGCAGAGTTTTATTCCTTTTCCCACAATGTGTGTGTGAGTGTGTGTGTGTGTGTGTGTGTGTGTGTGTGTCTAGGAAAGACTGTGTTGGGATGAACAGGTCTGAAGGGAGTAAGGACCTTTTAGCTTCTTGGCAGAAATGGTATCTAGTGGGAGGTAACTACACATTAGGTATATGGAAGAGGAAGTATTTGATGGTGAAGCTATTTTCAGATGAAAGTGTGATAAGTAAAGCTTTTAAAACCAGCATATTTCAGCCTGATTTAATCCTTACCTGTGGTAAAACAAATAAAAACAAAAACTATACCTATGTGACTGTGAAATTTAAAAGAAAACAAAACCAATCTCTTTAGTTACCTTGAAGGATGGGAATCTATGTATTAGTTTAGGCGATTAGAGTTAGTACCAGTTCTGGTATTTAAACTTAATAGAAAATAAAAAATAAATAGAGTTTAAAACACTCAGAAAACCTACTTGTTGTTTTCAAAGTGGATACTTTGATCATGGTTGCAGTGGAATTTTAGACTAGAGCAGGAATTAGATGGTATTTGTGCTTCTTGCCTCTGTGCATTTATTTATTTCTTTTAAGGTTCAGCTCAACTGACATTTTTTTGTGAGAAATCTCTAATCCTTGTCAGCACAAAGGAATTTGACAATCTTAAGACATGTAAAATAGTCACAGTTACATTATGTATTATTTTTAACGCTAAAATTTTTCTTAATCAGTTGCAAGCTCATAGAGGCACGACTTTGGTTCACTTCTCCCCCATCAGGCCAAACATAATGCCTCAGTATCACAGGTCATTTACTGAATGAGATAGCTTTGTTTTCTTCCCCTGATTCTCTAATGAGCGATATTATGGTGCAATGGTTTTTTAATTCTGGCTCCCATTGTAAGAAGCAACTGCAACAACTTTTTCTACAAACCTCACCATTAGATATAGCAGTTTTGATGTGCAACTTCTGAAACCAAACCAGGAAAAGACATTATGTATTGATGTTAGAAACCCACAAATGCTTGTTTTAAATACTTTCCACTGTTTATTTTTTTCTAATTCATCAAATGAAATCTTTCCATGTTTTAGCTCTAGGAGAGATTAAGCACATTCAATCTAATTATGCAACCTCCTGGCAAAAGCAGTCTCAATGTGAAACACTGTGCTGGTTGTATTTCACAGTTGCTAATGGAAACAGAGACAAGTTTGGAAAACTGCAAAGTCAAGTCTGAGCCTTGGCATTATCATGCCTCTGAGGAAAGGCATTTCCTGGGTCTGTTCTTTCTTTCCTTCACTCTCTGTATGCATGCTGTATGCGTCCCGTCAGGCTCTACAAATAACTGAAAATGGTCACATGAAGGTAGGAGTACCATAGACATAAAAAATGAATAAAAACTTGAAAAGTCTCACAAACAACAAACAAAATACAACTTGCCAGGGAGTCTGAGACTTGATAATTTTGTGTAGATAGATAAAATTAATTTATCTGATGTTAAAGAATACCAGTTGTCACGGCGTTTAAAAAATTCCTAGTTCCAAACATCCTTGGCAGCTCCTCAGGCTAACAATGCAACCTTACAAATTATAGTTGTTAGCTGCAGGTTTTGTTTTTCACCCATAGTTACATGGTATATTCAGATACAGAGAAGTCATTATATTATTTCCAAAACAAGTTTTTAAAACTTTTATTCACTTTAGGCTCAAAGATGAAACAGTGTGTTATCTTCCTAAAAATAATTTTGCTGAATTATAGACCAGATTTACATGAGAGCTGGAAAACATTTTGGAAGTGAAAAAAAGAATGCTGGCATCCGCGTGAGGAACATTGAGATGCACAAATGGTTTCCCTGCGACAAAAGCACTCACCCATGTAAAGACAGCCAGTTTGATCAGACAGCCAGTTTGACTAGTTTCCTTTCCGTCTTCTCTCTAGGCTCTCGTGTGTATTATCTGATTGGAAAGTCTTTACAGCTCACTGACAGGTATGGCAAACCCCTGCAGGACTGCTCTAACAGGAACTGAACTCTGTGTTAACCTTTCTGTCAACTCTGAGCGCCCAAGTGTTAACCTAAGCATCTTGGACTGTTTTCCTGAGCTCCTCACCTTACAGTGGGCCCTGCACTGATGTGTGCTGTAGGCCCTGGGCTCTTCCTCTTTCCTTCTGGCCTGGGGTGCTGAGGTCCCAGCATGCCTGAGGCAGGGCCCACCCAAGGGACTGCTTGAATAGAGTTTCTTATTTACACAAATCTTGAAATAATTAAAAATTCAGTTTTTACTTTGTATTTCATGTCTCAGTCTCTTGTATTATTAGCCAACACCAAAGACCTCCCAGCTGGAATGACAGTGCTTGCCAAGTGCAGGATTAACGTTGACTATTTCCATTCATTCATTTATTCACTCATCCAGTCATCTATTCCCACCTCCATTTAGCAGATATATCTGTCAATCACATACCATATGCTAGGCACAGTGCTGTGAATACTGTAAGCCAAAGTAGACATGGTCCTGTTCACATGGATCTTACAGTCTACTGAGGACAGGGAACACTAATCAAATAATCACCCCCCAACAAATTTAAAATTAGAAATGTGAGCTGGGTGCAGTGTCTCATACCTGTAATCCCAGCACTTTGAGAGGCCAAGGCAGGCAGTTCACTTGAGCGCAGGAATTTGAGACCAGCCTGGGCAATGTGGTGAAACCCTGTCTCCACAAAACATACAAAAAATTCGCCAGACATGGTGGTGTGCTCCTGTAGTCCTAGCTATTTGGGAGGCTGAGGTGGGAAGATTGATTGATCCCAGGAGTTCAAGGCTGCAATAAGTAGTGATCACACCACTGCACTCCAGCCTGGGCGACAGAGCGAGACCCAGGCTCCAAAACAACAACAACAGCAACAACACAAAAACTAAAACCGACAAATGAGGTAATAAGTTCTATGAAGGAAAGGCGCACAGTGCTATGAGGGAGCCTATTAGCTTGAAAGGAGGGGGCAAGAAGGCTTTCTCCTAGAAAAATTACAACTTGTCTGAGCTAAGATCTGGAGTGTGAGTTGCAATTGTGTTGCCAAAGGATTAAGGTGGTGGCCACAGCAGAGCATTTCATTCAAAGGGGTCCATGCACAATGTCCTCTGGCAGGCAGAGGCTCAGCCTTTCTCAGGAACTAATGGCAGTATGACAAGAGCACAGAGAGTGAGAAGGAATAAGGAGGGAGAGAATCTGGAGGAAGCCTTGTAGATCATGATAAAGTTCTCGTCAGAGACTAAAAAATGACTGAAGGCTTTAGAGCAAGGCAGTGAAACGACCAGACTTATGAGTATTTTTAAAGATTACTTTGTCTATTAAGTTGAAAACAGATTCGAGTAGTGGTAGGAGTGAGGTGGGCAATAGTAGTCTTGGTGCAGATGAAGGTCCTTGTGCCTTGGTGGTGGTGGATATGAACAGTAGTGGATCAGTTTGAGAGATTTTTCAGGACAGATCCATTGTGCCTACTAATGTATTGCGTATGAAATGTGAAGAAGATGATTCTGTGATTGCAGAATGTTCTGACTAGTGCAGTCATTTGTAGGGAGGGGAAACACTGGAAGGGGGTCCCATTTAGAGGGGAAGATTATGAAGGTGGTTGTGAACATGTTGAGTTTGGAACATTGAACAGGAGACGTCCAAGAGGCACTTGGATATTTTGGTCTCAAGTTCAGGGGAGAGGTCTGGATTGGAATTGCACATTTGTGGATCATTGGTGTGTAGGTGGTAATTGCAACCGTAAGTATGAAGTATCTCTTCTGTGTATAGTGTGGAGTGAAAAGACAGGAGAGCCTAAGAATGACTATGACATTCCAACATTTAGTGATCAGACAGAAGAAAATAAAATTACCGTTGAGGAGAGTTGTCGGACTAAAGATAAAACTGAGGGAGAATTATGGCTATTCTCTGTTTGTCTGTCCATGCTTCTCCATGCTACTCTGTGCCCTGGGAATAAGATATTATGAATTACATCAGCCGGGCTCCCTTGCTTCTGGCTTGATACTGGGTTAAGCCAATGAGAGAAGAGAAAGATCCTGCCTCCCTCCCTGTTATGCTGTGATTTGACAGCAGTTTCATTTTCCCAAAGTCTACAGTTTCTATATCAGAATAAGTAGTTGAAGAGCACATGAAATTAAAAAAGGAAGTATATTGATGAGTCTTAGGAGACACTTAGTGTGGCTTTAGGCAAAGAATGTAGCCACTGTCAAATTGTAGCATAGCAGATTGGTCTTAATGCCCTCCTTCATACAAAATGTCTAGTGAGACTTGCCTGTTCTCTCTCTTTATCTTTTTCTGCATCTCCCACAGGCTCTTCAACTTATTCCAATCTGGCAACTTACCAACATTTTGTATAGAGGAAAAGTCAGTCAAAGAAAAGTAGCTGGAGATGAATATGGGCTTAAAAGAGGGTTTTTAAAAAAGCTTCAGAATCAGCATTTTGTGGAGACTGGAATTCACTTAGTTGCCAGAGGTCAAGTGTCTACTGTGCAATTGGAAGAACCTTGCACTTCCACCTGAATAACATGAAATGTATTGCTGTTCTCTATTCCTCACCACGAAAGCCCAACGTGTATGATAAATTCCTTAACTCATTTGATTCTCTGGGCAGCAATATCTTGGTCAAAATAATTAAGTGGGTCCATTTAGTACTGATAAATTATCTATATGGAGATTGGAGAGTTTTTAACTTGAAAAATTTAGCAGCAATAGGAGAAATTAATTGGAAATTGTTAAGCGTATATTTTGAAATGAGAACTATATAAAAGTATTCTGTGGTGTTCATAATAAGGCATGAATAATGAACTAATCCAGAAATTAATGTTCACATCTTCTTTTTAAAGTTATTATTGAATCATTTAACCACGATAAGCTAAAGACTTATTTCTGACCTGTTTTCTTTTCTTGAGTTGTCTGTGTTGTTCTGCACATGTCTCCTGTCTTGTGCCTATCTGTGCTAGGAAAGTTATATCCTTAATTCGTTGTCTTAATGACCCATTACAAAAGGGTTTTTAAAAAATTCTATCATTGCTCTGAGTTTATTGTCAATATAGAGACATTATCAATTGTCTTTGAAGGAGGTGGCTTCTATCCAGTGCTTCCTGTTTAATGCCTTCTGCTTATTCCATTTTATTCTCTTGGAAATGGATTCTCTTTTTGTTTACTGGATTGCAGCTTCGGCTTCTTTTTCAATACTCTATGTATTGCCTCTGTATTCTACATGCATGCTGCAATGTGAGGGGCTTTATTTCACTTATTTTTGTGATGGGAAAGTAATTTGCAGTTTGAGTCTGAACTAAAAAAGGTCCCCCACTGGGCGGGAACAGTAGGACCATGGTAATTCTTGTATAAGTCTGTTAAACGTCTTTCCTTTCCTGTATGCAAAACCTCAGGAGTTTACTTTAACCTCTTAGAACCAGTATCATGTAGGTTATGTAGATACCAAAAGTTAGATACATAACAAAGGAATTTGAACAAGTAAGGTTACAGAAGTGGAGTTTAAACCTGGACTGAGACTTCAAAATCTGACAAATACCAATTCCAAATTTTTTCAATTCCTAGATATTTCATTCTTGGGGATAAAGTAGTCCTAATAATTATTATATTGTCAGGGCTTACTATAATGGTGAAAGACTGTAGGTCCAAGTTTACCTATACAGAGTGGGAACAAAATCATCTGTGGATTTGGATCCTCAATAGCCATTTCAATTTAGCCATTCTATTCTTGCTCACCCTGCGGACTAGACTCTAGACTCTGCCCGGGTGTCTGCTTCTCAACTGCCTGCATTAGCTGAAACTCCCTAGATTCTACTACTTGCCTGCCCCAAACTCTGATTAATCTCAGATCCCTGTCTGGGCCCTTTGTAGCCAATTTGGCCTTGCCACATCCTGTATGGGACTAGCAAGACATTGAGTTTGGGAAGAAATTGTAAGGTGCACTGGGACACTAAAACAGATCAATAAATATGATTGTTGGTAATAATAGTTGACATATACTTCTATTACCCTCACTTATGTAGATAATCTATATAAGTATAAAACTTGTAGGCAAATTAACATGAACTATTGACTAAAGATGTTCAGTGGCCAGGCATGGTGGCTCACGCCTGTAATCCCAGCACTTTGGGAGGCCGAGATGGGAGGATTGCTTGAGGCCAGGTGTTAGAGACCAGTCTGGTCAACATGATGAGATCTGATCTCCAAATAAATAAACAAACAAACAAATAAATAAATAAAAAATAGAGATGTTCAGTGATGGCTTAGAAAATATCATGTAGGAGACTCAAGATATACTTTCTTTTAATTCATGAAAATGGACTCATTCTAAACATCATGGACTACAAATATATGTTTATTCTTAAAATTAAGAAAAGAGAGTAGCGATGCCCTTGAAGGTGTCATTATATTTAAGCAAATAAAATGGTTGCAGCATTGTGGAGATTCTGGCATATTGTGGATTTTTTTCTTTCAGGTCACCTGTGTGATGGGAATGGATTGCAATATATGAATTTAAATGCAAAATGTTGAAGTTGTATTTCTTCTCTTTTAAATATTAAATAAGATTTTTTCCATTAGTTTTTTCATTGTTACTAAAGTGATAAAATTTAGAAGGCACTAGTTTTTGACTGATTTTAATAAATTGCATTTTCTAAAACCTTTTATTGTTTAATAGTTTTATATATTTTAAGACCTTTTTATAAGTATATAAAAATTAGAATTATTGCATCTTCTTAGTGAATTGAAACTTTTGTCATTATTAAATTTCCTCTTTACCTCTAGTAATTTTTTTTGTTAGTGTTTGCATGGTATATATTTTTCCATTCTTTTACTTTTAATATGTCTGTATATTTATATATAAGGTTAGTTTCTTGCAGGTAGCTTAGAGTGTTTTTTCCCTCTTAATCCACTCTGACAATCTTTATCTTTTAATTAGAATATTTACTTTGTTTATATTTAATATAATTACTGATTTATTTGAGGTTAAGTTCACTGTATTACAATTTACTTTGTTTTTTTCCCATTTCCCATCAGTCCTATTTTTCTTTTTCAATTTTTTTGCCTTCTCTCTGATAAATTATTTTTCTATTATTCCATTTCTCCCTTTGCCATCTTTATAGTTATAAATTCTTTTACTGGTCTTTTAGTGGTTACCTTAGAGATCACAATATACATCTTTGAATATTAATTTCTATTATAAATTAGTTCTTTTGCCACTTTCTAAACAATGCAAGAGCCTTGGAATACTCTAACTTCACTTACTTCAGTCATAATTTATATGCTATTGTTTATGTACTTTAATTCCCTATGTATTTGGAACCCCATAGAGCATTATTTTTACTTAATTTTATTATTTATTCAGTTAATAATCATTTAAATATGTTCACATGTATCTCCTCTCCACTACTGTTTATATCTTCCCATATTTTCAAGTTTCCATCTGGAATCACTTTTTTTCAAGAAAGGCTTTCTTTAGTATTTCTTTTTGGGTGGTTTGCTCGTAATTAATTCTAGTGTTTGTGTGTTTGAAAAGTCCTTATTTCCTCTTTACTTTTTCTCTTTTGAGACAAAGTCTTGCTATGCTGCCCAGGATAGAGTGCAGTGGCTATTCACAAGTGTGATTATAGTACACTTCAGCCTCAAACTCCTGGGCTCAAGGAATTCTCCCACCACTGCCTCCTCAGTAGATGAGACTATAGGCACACACCACTGTGCCCAGCTCTGTCCACTTTTGAAGGATATACTTGTTGGTTATCTAGGTTGTCCACATTTTTAAGAAAGCATTTTGGAGATATCATTCCATTGCCTCCAGGCTACCACTGTTTTCACTGAAAAATCAGTTACCAGTCCCATTGTTGTTTCTTTGATGGTAGTTGGACCTTTTCTTACTGCTTTAAAGATTTTCATGTTGTATGTATTTTCTTGTAGTTTTATACTTATATACATATGTCTAGCTTTCTGTTTTATTTTCCTGCTTGGGATTTGTAAGGATTCTTAAATCTTTACAAGGAACTAAGTAAGGAGGAAATAAGGACTTTGTTCAGACACACAAAAACTAGAATTAATCACCAGCAGAGCACCCAAAGGAAATACAAAAGAAAGTCTTTTTTGAAAAAAAGTGATTTCAGATGTAAACTTGAAAATATGCAAAGAAATAAAGAGTAGTGGAGAGGAGAAATAATGTGGGTACATTTAAATAAATATTAACTGAATAAATAATAAAATTATAATTAAGATAATGTTTTCTGGCGCTGGAAATACATATGGAATTTAAAATAGATAAAAATAATAGTATATAAGTTTACTAAAGTAAATGAAGTTAGAGTATTCCCAGGCTCTATTTTAAAGACCTTATGTGTTTTGTCAATTTTGGATAATTTTTAGTCATTATGTCTTCAAATATTGCTTCTGCTAGATTAGCTCCTCCCTTTTTAATGAAATTATAAATAATCATAAGGTAGACCTTGCTGATACACACACAGATCCTCCCCAGTTTAGGATGGTTTGACTTAATGGTTTTTTTGACTTTACAATGGTGTAAAAGCGATACTGGTCTAGTCATATGTGGTATGATACTTTCTCGTGTTGCTGGGCGTTGGCAGCAAGCTGTGGCTCCCAGTAAGCCATATGATAGAAAGGGTGAACAACGGTGTACTGCATCCCCAGCTTTTTTTGAATGTTGTGTTTTTGCATCCCGTCATATCTATAGAATGCTTATCTGTGTAATATGGTTTGGATCTGTGTCCGTGCCCAAATCTCATGTCGAATTGTAATCCTCAATGTTGGAGGGTCTGATGAGAGGTGATTGGATCATGGGTATGGTTTAGCACCATCCCCGCAGTGCTGTTCTTGTGATAGTGAGTGAGTGAGTTATTGAAAGATCCAGTTGTTTAAAAGTATGTCGCACCACCCCACTCTCATGGTCCTGCTCTTGCCACGTAAGACACCTGCTCCCACTTTGCCTTCAGCCATGATTGTAAGTTTCCTGAGGCCTCCCCAGAAGCCAAGAAGATGCTGCCTTGCTTCCTGTACAGCCTGAAAAACCATGATCCAATAAACCTCTTTTCTTCATAAATTGCCCAATCTCAGGTATTTCTTTATAGCAGTAGAAGAACTGACTAATACACTGTGTACAGTATTCAACAGTATTTTATTATAAAATATGTTTTGTGTTAGATTATTTTGCCCAACTGTGGGTTTAATGTAAGTATTCTGAGCACATTTATAGTGGACTAAATTACGCTATGATGTTCAGTATGTTAGGTGTATTAAATGCATTTTTGACTTACAGTTGTTTTAATTTATGATAGGTTTATTGGGACATAACCCCATTGTAGGTTGGGGAGCCTCTGTATTTCATATATTCTATATTTAAAATAAGAAACATTTTACTTACTTTTCAGTTCACTAATTCTCTTTTTACCTTTGTCTAATATGTTCTTAAATCCATTTATTAGATTCTTTTTTATATAGTTTTAAAATTCTTACTAAAATTCTTAGTCTGAACTTGGAATTCCTTGAAAACACTACTGATACTTATTTTCAACTACATCTAATAAATCCATTATCTGGAGTCTGCCTTCTTTTTTTCTTTTGGTTTCTTATTATCAATTGTTGTCTTCTCATGTGTTCAGTTATTTTTTATTGAGTCCTAGACAGTATATGTAAAAATTTGTAGGGCTATTTTAAGATTGTGGAAGATTTTATCTTCTTTTAGAGATTTAGTTTTGTTTCTGACAAGTGGTCAGAACTAGCAGTCCTAGCTGAACATTCATTCAGTTGTGTGCAGTAATGACTCAAAACTGGGCTTCAGTCTCTGTTAGTGCTGGTCTATTTTTTGTTCACCCTAACTTCCAGATGCAACCCTTACATGTCCCAGTCAAATCCCTGTGTTGTTTTTTTTTTTTTTTGTCATGGTTATCTTTCCTTGGTAAATCCCAGAATCCCAACTTCTGTCCCAGCAGCCTCTGTAGTCTGCTCAAAGCTATGCTCAGCTTCTCAGACTCTTAGCTGCCACTTTTAAAGTCAGCAGACTCCTGTAAGAAAAGAGTAGTCTCAAATGTCAGACTTACCTCTCTGAGCTTTCTTTCAATCCTAGGTTTTGTCTCTGCAATTTATTACTGGCTTGTTAGTTGTTTGATGCCTCAAAAAAACATGTTTTATACTTAATTTAGTTTTTTTTTTAAGTTGTTATCAGTGGGTATATTGGTGCAAAATAACTTGGTTAGTTATTGCTCCATGTGGTGCATTTTAAGAAAAAATTTTATCAAACTATTTAGACATTGAATCTGAAATACACACATCTATCATTCTAAAATAAATACTGTAATTTGAGATGAACACTTAACATCAATAAATTATTTAGTTACTGCTATTTATTAAAGTAAAAGTGGCTAGTTTAGTGCCAATTTGGATTTTGTTTCAAACATTTTTCCAAAGCATATATGCAGATAATGATGAATAACGGAATTTGGAGGAAAAGTGCCAGAGAAGACAAATATTTTCAGATGTTAATGTATTTTCAGGGAGGAAATATATAAAATTACTGAAAATCTTCATATTGTAATGACTAGTGCAACTTTAAAGGGAAATGTGCATTTTTAGTTCCTTTTCTACTTAAATTTTTTTCACTATAAAAGCAAAATGACATTTTTGTTACAAATACTCCATAGGTGATGTTTTGTATTTCTTATTCTATCATATCAAAAGGTAAGTAATATTTAGTGTCCTGTTACTGGTGAAGCTAGGTTTGATTACCTGCTAAAGGTGCTGACTGCCACACTTTCCCATTGTAAAGATATTTTCTTTTTCTATAGTTAGTAAGGAATTTATGGGGATGACACTTTAGATCTATGAATATAGACTTCTCCAAGAGGATCACAAGGAATTGTTTTAGTAACAATTGAGGATCCCTGCCTGAAGCAGTTTATAAACTGTGGTTTATAAAATGGTGATTTTCTAATTCTTACCATTCCTTCTCTATTAGCTGGCATTCACTAAAGAAGAATTCTCCATGTCCTCCACACTGTTTTGAGTGTCACAGAAGGGCTCTTTCTCCCTTGCCACTCTGTGAGCAGCACTGTGCTGCAGAATCTGGTTCCAGGTTACTCTGGCATGCATCCTCCATCCTGGATTTTCACACAGAATAGCCCTTCAGTAGTTCAATTATTTCTTCAACAATGATCCCTTTAATCTTTCTTTTTGCTTAAGTTAATCAGAATCAGATTTTAACAAACAATACTAACAGTCCTTATTAATAAAATTTGGAAAATTGCTTTCTAAAAGTTGGCACCAATCTATAAAACCACTTGCAGTGTTTGAGGATACCAGTCTCTCTGCGCTATAGTGTGTTTATCTCTGTCAAATACTAAAATAACCTTAAAGTAATTGTGTCTAATCTATAAAAAGACCTTTACTCATTGGAAATGAAGAACTTAATTATAAAGAAAATTGTTGTTGTCATTTGTATTTAAATGTTTTATCAACTTCTTCATTCTGAGAATAGAAAGTAAAATCTACTTGGACAATGCCACATATGATCACTGAGAATGTATTATGTGTCAGAAATTGGAGCTTTACCAATGAATGAGAAAGATATGGCTACATTTTTGTAGCTTTTAGTCCACTAGAAGAAACAAACATTTAAGCATATCATTATGTCACAAATAACCTGCATTTTAATGAATCTCTGATGCCTTGATCCTTTTTTTGATGTCACCAGAAGCTCCCAGTAGAAAGTTTTTACACAACTGTGTCATGACTGGTTGGTGATATTATCAATTAAATCATGCACCCTCATTTTTGCAATATTAAAATATGAAAAATGTGAATCTTAGAATTGGTGAAATGTAGTAGCGAGCACTTTGATTAAAAAGTTGAAAAAGAAACAGTCACAGAAATGAACATGCAAAGTGGATGGAATATTTTTGAAGGAATTGAAGTCTTGTCTGAGAAATGAGGGATGAGCAGGAATTTCTGAAGAGAATGGGCAGGAGTATTCTAGGCAAAAGTCACTTCCCCTGACACTCTCCTCATTTTTGAAATTAGGAGTTTGGGTGCTAGTTTAAAAGATAGATTTAGTAAATATTAGTATTTTAGTTTATTTTGTTTTAGCAGCAATAATTTTTAAGAAAATTCCGATTGTGAATAGTGCTGTAACAATAGCAAAGACATGTAATCAATCAAATGCCCATCAATGATAGAATGGATAAAGATATGAGGTACATATACACCATGGAACACTATGCAACTATAAAACAGAACCAGATCATGTCCTTTGCAGGCACATGGATGGAATTGGAAGCCATATCCTCAGCAAATGAACACAGGAACAGAAAACCAAACACCACATGTTCTTAATTATAAATATGAGTTGAATGATGAGAACACATGGACACACGGAGGAGGAGAACAACACACACTGGGGCCTGTCGGGAGATGGGGCATGAAGAATTCCCCTTGCCAACCCTCCACCCGCTCCCACAACACACTTTTTTGAGCATCACAGAAGGGGTCTTCCTTTCCTGCTCCTCTTTGTGAGGAGCACGCTGTTCTAGAATCTGGCTCCGGGTGACTGGCATACATCCTCAGTTTTGTATTTCACACACAAGTTTCTGAAGCAGCATGGTTTTAAAACCACTAGACTAGATGATCCCAAGATCCCTTCTACTTTCTACAAGATTTTTAATTTTTAATTTTTGTGGGTACATAGTAGGTATATATATTTATGGGGTACCTGAGATGTTTTGATATGGGCATGCAATGTGAAATAATCACATTATAGAGAATGGGATATGTGCCCCCTCAGACACTTCTTCTTTGTTGTTATAAACAATCCAATTACACTCTTTTAGTTATTTTGAAATGTACAATTAAGCTATTATTGACTATAGTCACCCTATTGTGCTATCAAATAGAAAGAATGAATAAGATGCCTTCTACTTTTAATGGTATATAACTCAAAGTAACATAGTCATTTGGACTCTGTCTGAAGCTCAATTCAGTTTCAGAAAGTTATACAACTGGTAAGTGACAAGGGCGGGCTTTGATACCAGATGCTCTAATTCTAAACTTCACCCTCTTAACCTTATACTATACTGATTCTACAGCGCACTTACTATTTTTTCGATCTGTGAAATGAGGATAATACTCTATTCTAAGGTCATTGAGGAACAAATGAACTTTATCTGTTTGTGCATGAGTGACATTCCTTTGTGTGTGCCCATAAGACCTTCTTCCTTCATCTATTATTACATAACAAATTATCCCCCAAACTGTGGTTTCAGACAATAATAATTTTGCATATAGACATTATCTATACATATGCAAATACATATGCAATTTTACACATACATATGCCTTTGTTGTTTGGAAGTTTCGGTAAGTGGCTGGATGATTCTTCTCCACATGGCATTGACTGGGGTTACTCAGTGTTATGAGTGGCTGATCTGGCCTGGAGGCTTTACTAACACGTCTGAGGCCTTCCTAGGTATGGCTAGAAGTCGAGGCTCAGTTGAACCCTTCTTTTCCAGTGGGCCTCAGGCTTTTCCACTTGGTCTCTCTATCAGGTGACTGACATTTTTACAGTAGCTGAGGGTGCCAAGAGTGACTCTTCCAATAGAGATAAAGTGGAAACTGTCAGTCTTTTAAGGCCTGGGCCCAGAAACTGAAACAGCGTCATTTCCTCCACATGTTGTTGGTCAAAGCAAGAACAGAACTTATTCACATTCTAGGGACATGGACATAGATCCAGTCATCTCTTGATGAGAAGAGTACCGGAGAATCTGAGGTCATCTGTATTCTGCCACAGATCTGGCTAAGAAAATAGTCTGTTAGAGCACAGGTAGCAAGCACAAATGGGTTGAAGGCTGGATTTATATTTTTCCCCTCCAGTTTCAGGGGCGAGGAAATTACAGAATGCTAGAGGATTTATGGAGCAGTTCACTTAGTCAACCAAGTATGAAGGTTGTTCTTTATCTTTGGGAAGGAAAGCCTGAATATAAGAACTGCTAGCGTTCGTTTAAAGAAATCACTAGTCTCAAAAAAGGTGGGAAACCAGTTTGAATTAAGCTATCGTGGCAAGGGCAGAAGAAGTTTAAGGTTAAAATATACTTTTACTGTGGCTTGGGAAATTGTCTACTTGTCAAGTATTGAGCTTTTAGGATGGAAGAAAGAGCACGACAGTATATTCTTTAGAAGATGAGACTGTGATAACCTCTGAGAAAGGAAAACTAGCTATGAAAATGCTCATGGTTGCCCTGGGAGGAGCAGAGGAGGTAGGAAGAGCTGGCCTATCTCTAGCAGTAGAAAAGGGAAGGTAAAGTGAAATAACTGAGATGAAAACAGCTACCAAATAATAAAGAGAAAGTCCTTGGGACCGGAAAGGAAGGGAAAAATCAGTAGATTTGGCTTCAGGAATTAATACAAGGAAGTTACAGATTTTGGAATGGATGTGGGGAGGAATGAAGATGAAATTAAATGTGAGGTATAGCAAGAACATAAGGAGAAGAAAGCTCTTGCAGATAAAAGGAACCAGTAGAACTCGGCTTTGTGAGTAGAGGAGGAATGAAAGAGGGAAAAGAGTATAGAGGAACCAAGGGATGGAAAGAGGAAAGTGAATGGGGCCAATAGGCTTGCAGCAGACAGAACAAAGACCCTAAAAGTAAGAACACAAATGGAGGAAGTGAAGGATATGACAGAAGCTGAGGTTAACTGGAGGGACAAAAGAGAAGTCTATAATTATATTACAATGCCATTATTATTTTTATTGTTGTGGCTATTGTTATTATTTTGTTACTTCTTCAGAATTCCCCAGTTATTTCAAACCTTTTCCACTTGCTAACCTCTGAGCTCATTCTTAGCCAGTGACAATATCTCCTACTCTGTTGAAAGCAATGAGACAAGTGTGGTAGGAGCCCCATTAACTTGCTTCAATTTTACATCACATTTTTTGTGCATTTAATATTTCTGTATATTTAAGAATGTATATTTAATATTTTTTGTATATTTAATAATTCTCATCTTTATTCTAATTTTAAAATGTCCCTTCTTTTTCAAGTTACCCTTGATATTACTCCCTCTTGCCTCTCATAGGAATTGGCTCTTTAATTATCCATTTCTTTCTCTTAGTCAGTGCCTCCTGCTCTACTCACTTCTTTCCTTCTGAGGAGAAGCATTTTCATGTCTTTCCTGTGCTGAACATATCTTGTTTCTCAATTTGCTATTACAATGAACTATATACTTATTTATTTATTTTGTTTGTTTTTTTGAGACAGGGTCTCTGTCTGTCCCCCAGGCTGGAGTGCAGTGGTATGATCTCGGCTCACTGCAACTTCTGCCTCTCAGGTTCAGGCAATTCTCCTGCTTCAGCTTCCTGAGTAGCTAGCACTACAGTCATGTGCCACACGCCAGGCTAATTTCTGGTATTTAGTAGAGATGGGGTTTCACCATGTTGGTCAGGCTGGTCTCGAACCCCTAACCTCAAGTGATCCATCTGCCTCAGCCTCCCAAAGTGCTTGGATTACAGGCGTGAGCCACTGCTCCCAGCCTGTTTCTTTCATTTCATTACTAAGCTTCTTGCAAAAGAAGTCTACATCTTTTCAGTCCACCAGTTAAATATTTAAAGTTTCAAAGCAGGAAAGAAGAGTGTATCACCTGAAAAGAAAAGAAAATAATGCGGAAGGGGGAGGCACAACAGCGCTATCCCACAGCCAAAGATAATGATAGTGGAGCCAGTTATCAGTGGTTCTTGATAGGTGAAGAAGGTGAAGATGAAGGACAGGGTGGAAAAGAGGCATCTGCAAAAGGTTTTTAGGGATTATATTGCAAAAGAAGAGAAAAACATAGAGAGGAGAATCACAATCATGGGGAGGAAGACCATACAAGTCTAGGAGTTTGGAAAATGAAAAATAACACACAAAAGAGAAATGGAATAAGGAAAAATGTGTTCCATTGTGTGTGTACATACCTATGTGTGCATTTGTGTGTGTGTATGTGTGTATACTACGAGTAAGTGATAGATAATATTTTTGAAATTTTACTCAGCTTGAAAGATAAATTGTAAATATGTATGGTATATAGTATTAATCATAAGCCACAGAGTCAGATCTGGAGGAAATAATCCATTACTTTATTTTCTCTAAATCAACTTGAACCCTGACCTGGTTTCTCTATTCTGAGAAGTGGATGAGAAATAAGGTATTAATCCTGACCACGGCTCTTTCCTCCATCTAGGATGATACAGAGGATGTATGTGGTGCTTAGGAAAGGAAGGAAGAGTCTCAAATTTCTAGCCCTATGTGGTTGCTGTTCATGGCACAAACACCTGCAGATTCTTGAAATTCAATAGTTCGGTGTTTTCAGTGCCATGTGTAGAGCAAAACTCCTCTGTGGGCTTGGTACCCACCCTGGGCTTCCCAGGGAGCAAGATGTAGATCTTCTAGAACTTTCTTCCCGTTCAGTTGTCCAAGACCATCCATGTCCCACTCTCCAACAAAGACACAGACTCACACATTCACCCTCAAAGAAACCCCAGGACAACTAGCATAATATCTCCAATGGATATAGACTTTCACAAAAGATTACCTTTGAGCAGTTTTTGCTTCATGCCCTACAAATATCCCTGAGCATCTGGACTGGACAATGGAATCTGATTTGGGTTTGAGGATTGGTAAGAACTATAACTTGGACTCAGCTTACTCCTGAAGCATCACAGCAGCAAAGCAGAAACATATAAAGACAGGGACACAAGTATGTAGGTGCAGCTCCTCGCTTTCCCCCTCATATCAGGCAGAGGCACAGCCAATCTCAGGGGTCTTGGCAGCCCCTGAAAAGGGGAATGCCTGCCAGGTTGGGGATGGGCTTGCTGTTCTTTGTATTTCCAGCCACATCAGCACCCAGAAATAACATATCACCTTGAAAGGTAATACTTAACCTTCTCTAGGAAGCATGTGAACCAGACCAAAAATCTGGGTTCCAGGCCGTGAAATTGTTGCTTTGCTAGCACAGGGACATTCTCTCCTTATCTGAGTTTTCCATTTAAGTCTCCTTAAGGGCTTTCTGTGGGCAGGCCTGGCAGTGGCCACCACACTGAGGAGAGGATATTAGAAAGACACTGTCTACCTTCTTGGAAAAAAGAGAAGAAAAACACATTAATACAGCAAGAACTTCTGCCAAACATATGTAAATATCTTTTATTATGTAGAGAGATCAAATTAAAGTATGTACGTGGAAATGTTCTGACAAATGGACCATAGCCCTGGGACATATTTTATTTCTGTTTTTCAAATTATAGTTTCCAAGTATCCTGAGTAAGGTTTATGACAAAGACACAGCTTCCATTTAGACAGTTGGATTTGTAATAGTTTATTTTAATAATGTATTTTAGAAATTCATTTCTGGCATAATGAATAAGATAATGTCTTATTCTGAGACTGAGTTTTGCTCACTGAAAGATAAATATTGTGGAAAAAACATAATAACTGGCAGTAATTAACTAGAATTATATACTGGGATGTTGGCTACAATAATTGCTCAATATTGTGTGTTTTCTTTGAAACAGCAAAATATGATTGATGGGATTTCTATAACACTTTTACTCTGGAAGATTAGGGAAAAAAACCAATAGAGATCAGTTGCTAAACTCAAATATTTATCTATAGGCCAAGCAACAGTTCCAAAGAACACTTCTCTTCATTTATAATATAGCAACACAGTTCTTAATCTGGAAAGATGGCTTAACATACCCGCTATTCTCAGTAGGGCATGCGCTTTGAATTTTCCCTCAGATGGCATGGAAAATGGGACCAGAACAGAGCAATCTGCTGAGCTAACTGGAATCTGATTCCCCACTACCAAGGTCTATCTCCAGAAGGGGAGAGTGAAAAAAAATAAAAAGAAGGAATTTATGAAGATATAATGGCTAATTTTTTAAATATGATGAAATATACAAATCTAAAGATTTGATAATTACAACAAATTCTAATCACACTTGAACGTGTCATAGTGAAACTGCAGAAGTCTAAAGATAAAGGGAAGGTTTTAAAAACAAAGAAAGAGGATAGATGCTACAAAGAAAGGACAATTAGACTAATGTCAGACTTCTCAATAGCAATAACAGATCCAGAAAATGGTGGAATTTTATTTATTTAAACTGCTGAGGGAAAATAAATGTCAACCTACAATGATAAATTTTGCTTGATTTTTAAGAACGAATACAAAATAAAGATATTTTCAGACTTGGAAAACTGAAAAAATTTGCAACCACTAAGTTTCTCACTAAAGAAAATTTTAAAAGATGTATTTGACAGTACAGGGCTCCTATTAGGGACAACGAAAATGTTTTGAAATTGATTGTGGAGATGGTTACAGAATTCTAAATATACAAAAAAATGAATTTTACATTTTACTCTGTACAAATTGGTGAATTGTACGGCACATGTAGAGGTTGAATAGTGTCCTCGCAAAAATTCACGCCCACCTAGAATCCCAGCATCTGACCTTATTTGGAAATAGGGTCATTGCAGATACAATTAGATAAAGATCTAAAGAAATTATTCTGGATTTAGCACCTCAAATTCAGTGACTGCTGTCCTTATAAAATGAAGAGACACTGAGAGACACAGAGAAAAGACCTTTGTGAAGATGGAGGCAGAGTTTGGAATTATGCTGCCACAAGCCAAAGAATGCTAGAAGTCATCAGAAGCTAGAAGAGGCAAGCAAGGATTTTCCCATAGAGCCTCTGGAGGGAGGCTGGCCCTAACAGCAACTTGATTTTGAACTTCTGGACTCTGCAACTGTGAGAGAGTAAATTTCTACTGTTTGAAGTCACTAAGTTTATGGTAATCTGTTATAGAAGTCCTAGGAAACTAATATAGTATGTAAATTATATCTCAACATTTCTATGATGTTCTCTAAGAAGAAAGTAAGTTGGAATTCAGACATTCAAGAAGGACTGGTGAGCAAGATATCTGGGAAATATGTAGGTAAATCTGAAGAAAAATTGGATGGTATAAATGCCATATTTGATTTGGGTAGTTAAATTGTTATACAACATAAATATTTAGAAAAATTAACATGTATGATGAGGGGGTATGAAAAGAGTTAAACGTAACATATTTGTATTTGGGAGAAAGTTTGAAATGTTGAAAAATTTTAGATCAAAGGAGTTTGCATATTAAAATCTTAAAGTTAACCAGTAAATGAATAGAAATAGAGTATGTAATCTTCAGAACTATAGAAAAAAATGGAATTAGAAACTTAAACTTATGAAAAAAGGAAGTGGTAAAAAGAATCTGAGCTCCACTTAGAAGACAGAGATAGGTTGGATTAAAAACCAAAAGTCTAGTATGTAATCTCCAAGAAAAATCTCAGGTGCAAAGTGATCCAAAAAGTCAAAACGGAAAGATAGAAAATAGTTATAAACTGACTTACTATCCCGGTTTGCTCTAATCTCTCTGCTTTTGAGTATGTTTGAAAATATCCATAATAAAATGGTAAATCAAAGAAAAATGGTATCACTGGAGAATTAACAGATATTTAGAAGAGAGCAAGAGATCTCTGTGAACAAATTTATGCTAATGAATAAAAAAATCATAGACAAAATGAACAATTTCCGAGAAAAGCATACCTTAGCAAAACTCAATCAAGAATAAGAATTTTTAGTGCTCACATAACTAGTAAAGAAATTAAAGCAGTAAAAATACCCTCAGAAAGAGAACACTAGACACCAACAGTTTTACTAGTGAGTTCTATCAAGCCTTCATAAAGGAGTTAATTTCAATGCTTTAAAACTTTTCTGTAGTATATAAAAAGAATGACTACTCTTCAACTCATCTTACCAGGCTAGTAAACTCTAAAACTAAAATCAGAGCAGGATGTTATAGTAAAAGAAAATTGCTAGGCACAGCAGCTCACGCCTGTGATTCCAGCACATTGAGAGGTCAAGGTGGAAGGATCACTGGAAGCCAGGAGTTTGAGGTAATCCTGGGCAATACAGAGAGACCCTGTCTCTACAAAAAATAAAAAAGCTTAGCTGGGTATGGTGTCGCGCCTGTAGTGCTAGCTACTCAAGAGGCTGAGGTGGAAGGATTACTTCAGCCCAGGAATTTGAGGATGCTGCAGTGAGCTATGATAGTGCCACTGTGCTTCAGCCAGAGTGACAGAGGGAGACCTTGTCTCTTAAAGAAAAAAGAAAAGAAAATTACAAAAAACTGGGCTTTTGTATTTTTTAATCTATTGTGGGAGCTCCTCAAAGCCACCAAAACTCTGCCAATTCCTGGTATGAACTGAGAACAAAGTCTCAACTAGAGATTTTAATGCCATTAAGCAGAAAGAAACCAGCAGAAGAGAAACCAGCAAATGCCCCCAGAGAAGAAAACAGCTGGCGATCATGATCAACATCTCATCTAGGAAGGACTATTCTGTCTCTGGAATTTTAGTTCATTTACTCCTAATTGTTTCTATAGTTGTTCATTTTCATTGTTTTTTGGTATTCAATTGAATGAGGATATTACCACTTATTCTTCTACTTTTTATGAACCTTTAGGTGTTTTCAATATTTGGTTATTATAAATATGTTACTATGAACACTTGGTACATGTCTCCTGTTGCACATGCAGGGGACATACTTAGAAGCTGAATTGCTGAGGATAGGATCTGTGTATGTTCAACTTTGGCAGTTAATGTCAAATAATTTTCCAAATTCTTGACCAATTTATATTCCCACCAGCAGTGTGTGAGAATTTTCATTGTTTTAATTTTACTCATTCTGATAAATATGTAGTGAGAACATAGTTTGTCTTTAATTTGCATTTTCTTGATTACTAATGAGGTTGAGAATCTTTTTCTGTTTACAAGTCATTGGGATGTCTCTCTTTGGAATTCTCTTTTCAAGTTTCCTGTCCATTCTTTTTTGCTTTTTACCATAGTCATCTCTCCTTCATATTAGTTTGCAGAAGTTTTTAATGTAGTCCTAATATGAGATTTCAGTTAGATTTATATGTTTTCTCTCATTCTATGACTCACATTTTTACTCTTTTATAGCATTTTTTTAGTTACATGTTTGCGTTTAATTTTGGTAAACGCACGCAACATAAAATTTACCATTTTAAATCGTTTAAAGTGTACAGTTCAATAGTGTTAACTATATTCACATTGTTATGCAAAAGACCTCTAGAACTTTTATATCGTGCAAACTAAAACTCAATACCCTTTAAGTAACAACTGCCCATTTTACCCAATCCCTAGCCCTTGACAAACATCATTCTGCTTTCTGTTTCTGTGAGACTGGCTACTTAAGATTATTTCATATAAGTAAAATCCTACAGTGTTTATTACTTTGTTATTGGCTTATTTCAGTTAATATAATATTCTCAAGGTTTATCTTTATCATAGAATGTGACAAGGTTTCTTTTTTAAGGTTGAATAATATTCCATTCTATGTATGTGCCACATTTTCTTTAACTGTTCATGTCAAGGGACATTTGGGTTGCTTCCACCTTGTGGCTTTTATGAATAATGCAGCAATAAACATGGGTGTGCAACTATCTCTTCCAGGGCCTGCACTGCATACTTTAGATATGTCCTCAGAAATGAGATTGCTGGATAATAATTCTCATTTTTAATTTTTGACAAATCTCCACAGTTTTTCATAGTGGCTGCATCATTTTTTTCCCACCAACAGTATGGAGGAGTTCCAATTTCTCCACATCCTCAACAGATTTCTTTTTTCTTTTTGTTAATTTAATTTTTATTTTAGGTTTAGGGGCATACATGCAGATTTGTTATATATAGGTAAACTGCATGTCACAGAGGTTTGGTGTACAGATTATTTCATCAGTCAGGCGATAGCCATCATACTCCATAGGCAGCTTTTTGATCCTCTGTCTCCTCCCCACCTCCACCCTCAGGGAGGCCCCAGTGTCTGTTTTTCCCCTTTGAGTCCATGTGTTCTTGTTGTTTAGAGTTGTTTATAAGTGAGAATATTCAGTAATAGTGTTTTTGATTAATAGAAGTTCTTCATTTTAATGTAGTTTAATCAATTTCAACCTTTTTATTCTTCCCTTTTTTCTTATTTAACTGACTAGTTCAACCAATTCAGCTGACTAATTCTCTGTGGTTTTTGGCATCTCTGATGTGTTGTTTTGCACATCTAGGAGATTTTGTAGTTTTATCATTTGTACTTCTTCAGCTTTACAATTATTTAACAATAATGTTTATTTCTTTGTTGAAATAAATATTATATTTATAATAGTATAAATATTACCATAATTTTATTGTAATATTACTATTATAATATATTTTATTATAATAAATATTATATTAAGAAATATTATTTCTTGACTGAAATAAACATTGTTAAGTAATAATTCTAAAGCCAAAGAAGTACAAATGTTAACTATAAAATGCCTATTTATTCATTGACACCATATTTTTCTTCAATTCTTTGAACTTTTTTTTTTTTTTTTAATTTGAGATGGAGTCTTACTCTGTTGCCCAGGCTGGAGTGCAGTGGCACCATCTTGACTCACTGCAACCTCCACCTTCCAGGTTCAAGCGATCCTCCGGCTTCAGCCCCCCTAGTAGCTGGGATTACAGGTACGCACCACCATGCCCAGCTAATTTTTATATTTTTAGTAGAGATAGGGTTTCACCATGTTGGCCAGGCTGGTCTCAAACTCCTGATCTCAGGTGATCCACCCGCCCTGGCCTCCCAAAGTGCTGGGATTACAGGCGTGAGCCACCATGCCCAGCCAATTCTTTGAATATTTTTATAGACATTATAACTGTCTCTGAAGTGAGTGCCACATGTGCCAAAATACTTAACTAACTACCAAGTTTTTTAGCATAGGGAAAACCCACAGAGAACCAGGTTTTAAAAGCAGTGCAAAGACGGAACAGGGCAAAAAGAGCATGGAATGGTTCTAAGATACGAGTAATTTCCTGCAGGTTTGTTTGCTTTGGGATCTGTATTCTGACCTTTAGGTTTTCTGTTACTTGAACTTTTCATAACTGGGAACATGCTTTTTTAAGAAAAGCATCCAATTCATAGATTCTGCTCAATATCACTGTATTTTTCTAGAATACACATTATCTTCCCTCTGCCTACTTCTCTGTGGTGTCTCCTGGAGCCTTAAAATATACGAATAGTTATCAATCAGGCATTTAAGTAGTTCAGATTCTGCATTTGGGTCTCTGTGGTTTTTATATTGTGAGTTCACAATTCTTAGCTCTTCCACGCAGTTTTTGTATTTTTATTTATGCTTTTAGATACTTCTCAGTAACTTTAGGCAGTTTTGTTTTTAATGTCTTTCATGTTTTATAATTGCTATCTGCTGCAGGTTTGCAGGGCCACGTATCTCCTACTATTACTGGAAGTTGATTTTGAATTAACTTTGAATATCAATTTTTTATTATCCGAAAATGTATATATTTCACTTTCAGTTTTGAAGAATGATATTGCTGAGTATAAAAATCTAAGTGGAAAGTGGTGTTTCTACTGATATGTTAAAGATATTTTACACTTTAAGTTTTCATTCATTGGTGCTCTTGGAAAGTCATCTGTTAGTCTGTTGCTACTTTGAAAAGAATTTATATTTTATTTTTCCCTTGGATGCTTTTAAGGTTGTTCGTTTTTTATTTGATTATATGTTTTGCTATGATGTATCTCTGTGTAAATTTCCTTTAATCTGCCCTGCGATCTCTTGAAGCTGTGGCTTGCTTCTTTTATCAATTTTGGAAAATTGTCAGCCAATATTATGTAAATATTTTTGTCCCACTCTCTTATCTTTTATTACAACTACAATTAAATGTATGCTAGATCTTTCATTGTTTTCTCAATGAATCAAACCCTCCTTACTGTATTTTTCAAATTTTTGTCTCTCTATGTATCATTGTAAGTAGTTCTTCCTGACCTGTCTTCCATCTTTCTTTAATCTGTTCTTAAACTCAGCCACTGAGTTATTAATTTAGCTTATTTGTACTTTCAGTTTTACAATTTCCTTTTTGTTGTGCTCACTCCTGTAATCCCAGCACTCTGGGAGGTCAAGCCAGGGGGGAGCTGATCACAAGTTCAGGAGTTGAAGACCAGCCTGGCCAATATGGTAGAATTTCCTTTTTATTTGTTTTATTTTATTTTTATTAATTGACAGGTAATAATTGTGCATATTCGTGGGGGTACTAGTGATGTTTCCATATATATAATGTATAGTGATCAGATTAGGGTAATTAGCATTTCTGTCATCTCAAACATTTATCATTTCTTTGTGTTGGGAATGTTCAATATCAAATTAGTTCTTTTTAAAATTAGCAATGTTTACTCTTTACAGTTTCCAGTTCATTTTGGAAGCTTAAAAGTTGGCCTTTTAGCTTCACTTCATAGACATGGTAATTGTTTTATGTTCTGTTTCTGACAACTTTACTAACTGAAGAAGTTATGGATGTTTCTGCTGACTGTTATTTGTACCAGATCTTGTTCATTTTATCTTGTTTCCTCATGTTTTTCGTTATCTTTGATTAGGTGCTGCATAGTGTATTTGAAAAAATTATTTATAGAAATAATTTGAGGCCTAAGATGATGTGAATTCCTCCAGGGAAGATTTACTCTTGTTTCTTTTATGTGCCTGGTGGCAGTACTAATCTAGGATCTCCTAAATCTAATTTTAGGATTTGAGATATTCTGTGTTACCCAGGAAATCTGATGGCAGAGAGATGCTGCAGTCCATATAGTTCTTTGATTATTTCCAGTTTTCTTATTCATGGAATGCAGTTTTCAGCCCTTCTGAGCCCCAAATTAAATAGGGAGTTCTTTTCTATTTTCCCCAACTTTGACCCCTACTTATATGTTCCTATTCAAGTGATGTTATAAAAAGTGTTGCACAACCTTTTAATCATCTCTTTTTGGATTTACAAATGCCCACTGGTGGGGTGGTTTTGAATGTTAGGCTCATCTCTTTAGATTCCTGTTTTCTTCCAAATTTCTCCTAAATTTGATAATTCCTAATTGCATTGTTAGTTCTTTAATGCATTTAGGAAGTTAAAAAATATTAGCTAGTCTTTTTTATTATCTTTAGCAGGTTTGGCCCAAATCACTGAACTAGATATTGCTGGAAGTAAAATCCTCCAGAGTCAGGGATTTGCATTCTAAGCCATGCTATTATACTCCCTCTCTTACTTTTGCTTTTTAAATAAAAAGAACAGTGTTCAGAATCTTTAGTCCCAATTGCTTCTCATCTCATTCATAATGTAACCAAAGTCTTTAGAAGAACCTGTAAGATACTACTTGATCTGCCCTTCTCCAGCTCTCTGATCTTATTTTCCACTGCTCTCTCGTTCACTTTGCTCCAAGCACACTGATCTCTTTCGTCTTCATCTAACATATCAGGCATGCTTTTGCTCCTTCAGGATCTTTGCATTTGCTGGTGTCTGTGCCAGAAATTCTCCTTTCCCAAATAGCCACACTTCTTTACCTTCTAAGGCTTGAAATTAAATGTTCCCTTTTTAGTGGAACCTTCCCTGACTGCCCTGTCTAAAATTTCAAATACTGTTTTCCTCTCACCTATTGTCTTGGTTTGTTTTGTGTTGCTATAACAGAATTCCACAGACTGGATAATTTATAAGGAGTGGAAATTTATTCTTTCACAGTTCTATATACTGGGAAGTTCAAGATTAAGGCACCGTCAGTTTAGAGCCTGGTCTCTCTGGTTCCAAGATGGCACCTCACACACTGCTTCCTCCAGAGAGAAGGAATGTTGTGTCCTCACATGGCAGAAAAGCAAAAGAGAGAGAACTGACTCCCATGAGTACTTTTTATGGTGGCATGGCAGAAGCTTCGTGATCTAAATGGCTCTCATTAGGCCTCAACACTGCTGCACTGGGGAACAAGTTTCTAACACATAAATTTTGGAGGGGATACATTCAAACCATAGCACCTATGTGCTACCTATTGCTATATTCTGTTTCATTTTTTTCTTAGAAAGTATTATTATCTAACATATTGTATATTTTCATCTTTTAAGTCTTATTAGCAACCTCTCTTTCACCCAGAATATAAATTCCATGGAGGCAGTGATTTTTGTCTATTTGGTCATTGTTCTGTCTCCAGTAAAGAGAGTGGAGTTTGTCACAAAATAATATTCAGTAAATATTTGTTGAATGAATAATAGAGAACTTTTGTTTATATATCTCAGATAGGCTAGATATACCTAGAATTGTGCTTAAGGAATGCTTTCCTAAGTTCCTTAAGGAGTAAAAGGCAATACTGATCAAATGTTGTTTTTATTAAAAGTTTAATATAAAGAGAAAAATAAATCATATACTGATCAAATGTTGTTTTTATTAAAAGTTAAATATAAAGAAAAATAAATCATATACTAGAGGTAGAAAATAGTGTACTGGTAATTAATAAATAGTAAAACAGTAGTTCTTAAAGTTTAGCTTGCTTAAGAAATATGTGAGGATGCTTATTAAAATAAAGGTTCTAGAACAGGCCCTTTCTTCACGGATACTAAATCAGCAAAGATGGGGTGATAGCCTACAATGTGCATTTATACTAACATTTGAAACTTGGAGAAATATTGATCTAAAGAATCACAAGTTGGTCCCTGAAGCATAGAAATGAGTACAGTAGTTACTAGCTGAGCTTGGAAAAATATTTCCTTCTCTAACATTGCAAATGCACTGACCATATCCTCCTTCAGCAATTGGTTTTTAGACTCCATGATAATTTATGGGAATTCTCAGGAGACCAACTTCTTCATGTCTCAGTTTTATTCTTTATATAATTAATTACGGACTCATTTACATTTACTATTTCTTATTTACAAAGTGTTGAAAGGCATTCCTGGAGCAGAATTGAATGTATGAAAACATCTGATAATAAACAGAGATTATACTGGAGAGGAATTCACGGGCTCCTGCTTCATCCTCTTGGACTGTGATATTAAAATGCTCACCAGCTGTGTTTAATCAATAGTTCTTTTCATATTTGAATGTAGTTCCAACTCAGAGACAAAGGTCTAAGAAATATATTCTAAAATTTATCAGAGAAAGAATTAAATACCTATTCATATGCCTCCCTTTTTTGACCTGTTTTCTTCAGGCTCCATTTCAGTAATCCACAAATTCTTGCTATCACCTGATAAGTGAATATAAAGCATTAAAGTGCCAATTGCACAGTTTTTGTTTTTAAGGGTCAGGGAAGGGTTAGGACATCCTGGGTCTGGATTTCATTCTTTTCTAGACTTCCTGTGTAATTTAATGCTCCTCCATCTGCACTCAGAATCCTATTAGAATAAAAGAGAGATTTCAGCTGCTTTTTCGCTCGTATGTAACTGTGTTTCTAATGGCAACTTCCCAATAGAGGTTCAGGTGCTTATGTGAAGAAAGGACATTCTCACTCCATTTCAATAAATTTGGAACAGTGCATTTAGAAGAATAAGCTTTATATCTTTCATCCAGCATTCCTCTTACCTTTAATTTAGAAGCAAGCAGGTCTACCCCTAAATATGTTTTGAGATTTTCTCTACTAATCTATTGAATTGTTTATTTTTTGAGGCTCTATGAGGATGATGGTATTATTATGTGGTAGTTATTGTTTTAAACTGCACAACAAGTTTTCCCATATGCACCTTCTTACTTATATAATAGGCCCCTTCCTTATATAACCCAGTATTAGTGGATGGGAATAACAGTTGTGGCCAACCGAAGCACTCATTATTCTGGCTGCATACATTGGTTGAGAGGTAGCTTAATGACATCGGTCAATCAATCAGACTCCTTGGGATATTCCTATTGGGACAAGGGTGGAAAATTGTTTCTTGCCTCTGTGGTCCCCTTACTGGAAGGATAGGAAACTAAGAGCACTAGAAACTATCCTACTCATCATGTGGCTACAGCCAGGCAACAATACTAGAGAATGAGGCCCACACCTAGAAAGACGCAGAGCTGAAACGTGAGGAAAAGGCTAATTATTATTTTTTTTTTGAGACGGAGTCTCGCTCTGTTGCCCAGGCTGGAGTGCAGTGGCACAATCTCGGCTCACTGCAAGCTTTGCCTCCCAGGTTCATGCCATTCTCCTGCCTCAGCCTCCCGAGTAGCTGGGACTACAGGCGCCTGCCACCATGCCCAGCTGATTTTTTTTTTTTTTTTGTATTTTTAGTAGAGACGGGGTTTCACTGTGTTAGCCAGGATGGTCTTGATCTCCTGACCTCGTGATCTGCCCGTCTCGGCCTGGAAAAGGCTAATTTTTAAAATTTTGTTTTTAATTGACATGTAATAGTTGTACATTTACATGGAGTACACTGTGATGTTCCAAGGGGAAAGGATCTTGGTGATCTGGTCCTGAATATATTAGGTTGGTAAAAAATGTTTGATGCTGGGATCATTCCTTTCCTTCCCTATTACATAGTCAATAAATTAATTTTTACCACATGCTAGTTGAATTGCATTTCTGTTATTTCAAACTGAAAACATCCTGACAAAAATAAACAATAACAACAAATAGAAATGGAGATTGAAAAAAACATGCAGGAAGTTAACAATTCCTTCAATGGTACAAATGAGTTTTCTGGATATGTCACAGGTATAAGCATTTTCGTTAATAACTTGGTTTTGTGTCAGGATTCCTTTATTCCTCCTGCATCTAACATTAATAAATTGCTATTTGTTGTTAAGGGAAGTAGGGAACTCCTATAATATTAAATCTAGGGAGATCCCAGAAAGTTAGCCATCCCAAAGTCTTTGAAAACCTGGCTACATTGTCACCTTAAGCTTAGGAAGCCAAAATTCAATATGGACATAGAAATATCTCTTTTTTAGGGGGAGAATTCCAGAGTAGCTGATAAATTGTATTATTTTTTGGCACCATGACTCATAGCTATAACTTTTTAACTCTTTAGGGGGACTTTTGCATTTGCCATGGGAGATGTCATTTCAATGCCTAAAAGTTAGATAGATTAAAGATAGGATGTAGCTAGGGACATGCATACTGGGATATTTCTGAGTGTGAAAGGGGTTTCTATCAACAGTTAGACCCAGGACAATAGGTCCGAGAACACCAAGAACAAGAACACCAAGAACCAAGAACATGCTAGAGAAAGGGAGATATTTGTTTGTCTTTGCCAAAGATGATAGACTCTTTTCCTAGACTAGTGGTTTCCAAACTGGTTCCACATTAGAATTGCCTGGGAAACTTACAAAAATACAGAAGCTAAGTTTCCTCACCCAGAGGTTTTGATGATTTGTCTGGAGTGGCATATGGGAATTTCACTTTTAAAGAGTTCCCTGGAGACTGTACAGCATAGTTTTAGTATTTAAGTATCTAAACCTGAATCTCAATAGGCAAAGACCTGGTGTCTCTTCTTCCATGAGCTAGGTGTGTGATTCTGGACAAATAATTTTCTGATCTTCAGTGGCTTCATCTATAAAAAGAGGGGTTTAGTCTAAAAAATACTCTAAGATCTACTGAACTCTGATATTCTACAATTCTGATCGTTTGAAGAGCTCTTCTTTACAGGGATTAAAATCTCTTAAAGTCAGAACCTACTTCCCCTTGTCTTGGACAATGACAGAACATTATTTGGAGGAAGGCTAATCAAGTTCGTTTCTTAAAAGCCAAGGATGTGTTGTATAAACGAAGTGATAGGACATGCGCACATATTAATTCTAGTGCTGTTTGAGAGCACCTAGCAGTTTTCATGCCAGCTGAGAGGATGAAAGGCCTGCAACCCCCAAAGACATTATGTAATCTTTGCAATCTAATTCAGCACAACCTTCAACAACTGAAATGTTGAAGGGCAGGTTTACTCTTCCCCAGAATGAATTTTTATGGTTGCTTATACTGAGAAGGCAGTGCATTGTATGTGTCTTGTTAATGACCTAATGCAGTGTGTTCTTCTGTCTATAAATGGAGACAAACTGAGAGATGTACAACTGGTCTAAAATAGAGGGCCTAGTTCAGGGTGTGAAATGTATTTTGTTAAGTCATGTTAAGCCTCAGTTCCTCATTCCTTTTAACAACAAACTCCTTTAAAGATTTAATGCTAGCATTGAATTACTTTTTATAACCCCATAAGAACCCTATCCCCTCTGCTTCTTTTGTTCTGGCTGAGTTAATATATCAGGTAGGATACGCTGGATCGTGGCACCTTCTCAAACTCATCAACCAGCAATCTTCCCTTCTTTTTTCATAGAGTAGTCCCTAATAAATACAAACGAGAAGAAATATCTCTCTACTTAATGTTTCACTCCTGAGTTGATCATATATAGCCTATTTGTCCAAAAACATTTTTGAGTTCCTACTGGGTTTTCAGCAGACCTTTAGATTTAAACTGCCCTAAGTTTTTGTTTGTTTGTTTTTCTTCATCTCTGTATCTCGGCCTGTACAACCTCCAAAGATGATCCATATTGCAAAATGATGTCTTCTGCATAGATCTCAAACCAAAATAAAAATTCCCCTTCCTGGCAATAGTATCAGCTTAAGAATTAGGAAAAAATCAATTGTGTTAAACTAATTTATATTACTGTATAAATGACTAAAAAATATATATTGTTTCAGTAGGACAATAAAATGTATGCATTCTATTTAGCTACTTATAAGTAGCTAAATTTTTTCCTCTTTCTGCATGCTTTCTAAAAATATTCTGACTTATTTCTTATATGCATTTCTCACAATAAGTTGAGTTCATATATTAGGGTACTTGGTGCACATTTCCCCATGAAGTAGAGCTGCAGATGATAGCTAGCTTATCCACCAGTCCTCCAAATCCCCATCTAACTCTTCTTGTAATTTATAAACAGAGGATTATTAATAAATGTTGCTTAAGTGAATAACTGAATAGAAGTTAGACAGGGAGGAGGGCTCATCCATGAAGAGGGTCTGTGGGTAGTATTCAGTGCTAGAAGACACTTCCTCCTCTTTTCCAGGGCAAAACACTGCTCTGGGTAAAATTATAATGCTCACAGAGCATCTTTTGTATCATAACTCTCTACTCATACTTTCCAACCTCTTTAGATGCTCTCTTCAGTGCTTTCCTAGGTTTATAAGTAAAATCTTTGATCTTGCCCTTCTCATGGAAGGCCTCCTTGCTTCAATATGACCTGTTTCTCCCCTGTGAAAACCCATCATACCTCTCAAATAAAATCCATCTTTTATGAACTCTTCCTAATCACCTTTTAGTATGAAAATAAGCTGATTTAAACATAAGACTCCAAGATTGTTTGTGCTTTAAAGGAAGATATATGTTAACCCAAAATATCTCCAACAGTGGAGTTTTATGTAGTCTGGCTAATTCAATGTGACAATTCAGGCAGAGTGAGAGAATATATTTTCAAGGGGCCAATCTATAGAGTGTCTTGACTGTGTTTCTTTCTCCAGAGTTACCTCCCTTTCATATCATTTCTTCTTTCTAGGTTTTATTTGGGCGGAGGAAACAATGGTTAAATTATGTAGATCAATTATCTAGAAAATAAATATCAAACAAATTGTCTTGAAAGTATTATAAAATTTATTCATGCTTTTTTGGAATTGTTTTGAATGTTTTTATAAATTTTTTCATCCTTTTTTTCAGCAATTCAAGAATAATTTGCTTTTTGCTATGTTGCAGCAGTGAAGGCAGTGAGGGGCTGTGGTGTGATCCAGGAGGCTGAGAATTATGCAGTGGGTGCTGTCACCTTGAAGACATCAGCGTGATCAGGCAGATCATCATGGTAGTAAAATAGATTAAAAATTGCTCTAAGAGGCCATTTTATTAAATAGAAGTGATTTACCACTGAGCAGGAGATATCCCAGTTGTGGTGGCTGGAAGAGAAATTTTCTAAGCAAAGATGAGAAAAAGCAAATGGCTGGTGCTGACGGATCTTTCCAAGCAGTGCTATGTGGCTTCTGTACGCTTCTGCAGACACTGCATCTGTATTCCTGTAGTGAGTGATTCTGACATGGCACACATGCATATCAACACAGATTTCCCTGAAGTACACACTTCACAGGGTTTCAATGACTGAGAGTTTTTGTCAGTGTCATTTTTAAAAGAAAGTGGAGAAGGACCTTCACGTTGTGCACATGTACCCTAGAACTTAAAGTATAATAATAAAAAAAAAGAAAGTGGACGTTCACTACAAATTTTGATTTTTTGTTGTTGTTGTTGATGTTGCAGAAAATGATACAGTGTATCTGTTATGATTTTGTGAGTAAATGTTTAATTTTTCACAGATTTTATAAAGTTAAAGATGAAGCAAGATGATTCAGGAATCCTGTAACTTGCAGCCCACTCCCACTCTCCCAATCCAACCCATATCCATCACCAGCTTGAGAAAGGGAAAGGGAGGAGGACCCAGCAAAGTGGTTGAATCTCAGCAAATCAATGAGTTTGGAAAGAAACAGTTTCAGACTGAAGATTGCAGAGGAAGTTTTTATTTATTTATCTATTTATTTCTTTTTTCTTTTCTTTGTTGCCTCTTACCTTGGTTTGGCAAATGAAAGGCTCTAGTGGATGTGGAATTTGAGAGCACTGGAGAAGAGAAGAGAAAACAAGATGCACTAACTGTGACATTTTGCTGAGTGCCTAGAAATAGATTCCCTTTACTGTCTTTACAGAGGTTTAACTAAGGAATGAAATTCCACTGAAACCTTTTTTGCCTGTTTGGATTGTGCCTCATTGACAGTGATACCACTCTGGGGCTAAGTCTGATGTGTCACAACCCAACAGGGTGGGGCTTTATCTCTTTTTCAATTGATTACATGAAATAATTGTATTAAATAGAAAATATAAAGGTATAAATGCCTTGATATTTATTTCTTATCAGTCCTTATATTCCTTAGTAGATCTCTATTTAAAGCTCTAAAATTATTTATCTTCTCCTCCCCTGATACTTCTTTTCAGTCTAAACTCTCCAAATTTTGTGAATGTGAAGAAACTTACAAACTCTGAATATTTCTGAAAACAATCTTCTATTGTAAAAGTAATATGATCCCATTAAACAAAATTTGTAAAAAAAAAAAAAAAGAAAAGAAAAAAATCACCTACAACATTATTAGCCTAATATAAACTGATACAAATGAATATAATACTGCTTTGGTATTTTCTCTCCATATTTTCTTTTACAAAGCCTAGTTATGATTATATTAAGCACTTTACCTCAGGTAAAGCACTCAGCTTCCCCTTCGATTCTAGCATTTGGCATCTGAGGGCCATGATCTTTGGTAGCCATTTTTTTATACTTCAGGAGTTTATATGCCAGAATCAGGCTGTCAAATAGGTCCATATTAATACCTGTTAAATTCTGAAAGTTCAGGGACAAACTTTTAATCTATCCTTAGCAAAAAGTGATAAACTTGGAGGTGCTAAGTAAATAAAATGTCTTAATAAAATTCCATTACAATGTTCACATGTACCATTCTGATACTGTATATTTGCCCTTACAGTCTTGTCTGCATAGCAGGATGCTGTGCCAAATCATCTCAGCAAAAGGTCTCTACATCACGATGTAGGCAAAGACATTAGAGTGGGTGAAGAGAACCTCTTATTACCTTTTCTGGGCCCAATTTTCTCATAATGAACCTGCACAAGATGATCTCTAAGGTTCGGTTGTGTTGTAGCAATATATTCTGTAGAGTTGAGAACTTGAAAAGTTTCCTCCACTTAGCATAGTTATTTCTAGACAGAAATGTCTTTTGTATTCTTAAGGCATATCGTGTATGACAGTAATCTCCTAATTTTTTCTTACACACCTGCTAAAAGAATTCTAAAAAGCTATATACCCTCCTGCACATTTAAAAGGACATTAAAATTTCTTTTCATCACTATAAACAATGATAAGGGATGTAATATTCAGTATAATATAAATATTGACCTTTTAGAATAAAACCATTTTAAAAGCACTCAATATAACAAAAACCATAGCAATGTGTTACTAGCTATAACCCATTCAAAACTAGGTGACCATGCTTTTCAAAGAAATTTAATTTGTAGTTTTCTTTGTTCTTTTATTTCCATTCCATCCCCCCACAGAATTGTTTCTTAATTCAATATATTTTTATGCTTAAAAATCTTCTATTGTTTCACTTGTAGTTTTCTTCGTACTTGTATTTCTGCCTCTGAATTATAACCTAATTGATTTTTATGCTTAAAAATCCCTTATTAATCATATTACTCGGCAATAAATACATGAGTATTCATTTGGGAACTAATTTTTAAAATTCATGTCCATAGGTTCTAACTGTTCAAATGTTTCTTTTGGATTGAGTTTTCATTATAGTTATTAGTACAAAATTGGACTAAATGGCATGAATATATTACACATTTTGATACATAATTATTAAGCAAATGCATTTCTTAGGGGGATAGATATAATTTTTTTAAACAATTAGCTTATTGTAGACATGCATGAATATTACTAATTGTTAGGCAGGGTTGAGCATCAACTTTGCTTTGTTTCTCCTCCTTAGAGATGAAAAGCTTATGTTCACTTAAATAAGTAGATGAGAATGAAAGTTTTGCTACAGTAATGTTACTCAGTTTTATTGACTCAAGTCATATGCAAGAAACACATATATCTCTGTCATGGTTAACTTTATGTGTCACCTTGGCAAGGCTGTGGTGCCCAGTTATTTGGTTAAACACTAGTCTAGATGTTGCTGTGAAGGTATTTGTAGAGGTGATTGACATTTACAACCAATACACTTTGAGTAAAGCAAATTGCCTGCAATGATGTGGCTAAGCCTCATTTATTCTATTGGAGGCCTTAAGAGCAAAGACTGAGGTTTCCCAAAAAAGAAGCAATTCTACCTTAAGACTGCAGCCAGCATAGAAACCCTGCCTGAGTTTACAGCCTACTGGCTGCTCTATAGATTTTGGTTTCAAGACTGCGATGTCAACTCTTACTTGAATTTCCAGCCTGCCAGCCAGTCTTACAAACTTCAGACTTGTTAGCCCCACTGCAAGAGCCAATTCCTTAAGATAGTTCTCTATGTATCTCCATCTCTATCTCTATCTCTCTCTATCTCTGTCTCTGTTTATATCTCTATCTCTATCCCCCCCTCTACCTTTATCTCTATCTGTATCCCCTAATCTCTATCTCTCTCTCTCTCTCTATCTCTCTCTATCTCTATTTCTATCTCTGTCTCTGTCTCTGTATCTATCTATATCTTTATCTCTATCTCCTATTGCTTCTGTTTATCTGAAGAATCCTAACTAGTAGTCTCATATCAAAAGTACTTTTAGTGACCTATCATTGACAACTGAATTAGACTCTTTACAATTTTTTTAAGAAAAATAATTGAGTACCCCTCAATTGAAAAAAAAATGATTTGTTACCTAATCTTAATTTTCTTTTCTTTTTTTAGGTACTGCATTTCCTGGACACGATCTTAATTTTCTTAATACCTCCACCGACATTTCAAATAGCGTCTCTAATGCCCCAGAGACTTTTATGCCCCTAAGGTAGTTTTCTTTCTTTTGTGAAGCAGAAGAAGGGAAATTGTTAAAGGGAATATTTTAACTAAATTTATTTCCATAAAACTATCTTTGTCTTTATATCTCATGGAAAGTGTTAGGTAGCCTCAGGATTATATCTCCGTTGGAAAACTGTAGATGTAAACCTTCTTGCTATCTACATACTTACATATTTTTCTGTTGTTATTTACTTATGAATAGCATTTTGATTATAGCAGAAATAAAATACATTAAATGACTAAGCTCAGAAATAAGAAAAAAAGGTCAATGGTGATCATTTATTTGGAAACTATGATATTTTAATGATATTAATGGTGTAATTGACATTTAGTTAAACATATTTCATCGTAAGTAGAGCACTTTAACTCTTACGGTCCACTTAAAATGTAATCATACGTTTATGTATTTCTAGTTAATGTATCAAACTCAACTGAGTAATCAATGTACATCATTTATTTTGCTCCTAAGTTAATACACTAAGTTATGCTTTAAAATTACTAATTTGCTGCAATATCCAATACTCTCTTTTAAGTCTTACGTCTGCAGAAAAGGATATAAACATTTCATGACACCAAACCCAAGTATTTTTGATGCCCTTGGCAGTGTCAGTTGAACAGACAGTGTCATTTAATGTTTGAGACAGCATCTGAATTCCTTTTATTCTTAAAATTCTATTTTAAAATGCAGTTTTTGGAAAGTTAATGTGAATAGAAAAATTTCTAACATTTTATGTGCATGTGTTTTGTTTGTTACAGGCTTAGCATCTCAAATCTGAAAATTCGAAATCTGAAATGTTTCTAAAATTCAACTCTTTTGAGTGCTGATATGACTTTCAAAGGAAAAGCTCATTGGAGCATTTCAGATTTTGGATTTTTGGATTTGGGATGTTTAACCAGGGTAAAATATAGAATGCAAATATTCCAAAATCTGAATAAAATTGAAATCTGAAATGCTTATGGTTCCAAGCATTTTGGATAAGGGATAATTAAGCTGTATAACTTATAAAACTGAATATAACAAAATTTCCCAACATGTGGAAAATGATGTCTTTTTTCAAAAATGTCAATAGCAGATACATGGTACAGTAAGTTAGGGGAAAAAATGAGGTTTCATATCTTCTAGTTTCCTAATTAAAAGGAGCCCATTCTGGGTTGGAAGAAAGTGTCAGTAAGATCATTTCTCCTATTTGAAAATCATACAAAGCTTGTCAGAGTGACTCAGGCCAGGAGTGTAGCTGGGCGTGTAGCTAAATGATATCTCCCCACATCTATATAATAAGCTGTTACCTGCTTTAAAAGGAAAAGCTCTCAGCATGACTCTAATGTTGCATTTCTGGAATACAGCTTGAAAAGCTCTTCTCAGGGTTGAACAGAGCATGAAGGTAATGGTTATTATCTACTCACATTAAAAAAAAAAAAAAAGAAAGAAACCACCACAGAAAACTACTTACTGTCTTTAGGCTCTACTTTCAAAAGTGCCCTTTATGAACGCTTTTACACTGTTGATGGGAGTGTAAATTAGTTCAACCATTGTGGAAGACAGTGTGGTGATTCCTCAAGGATCTAGAATCAGAAATACCATTTGACCCAGCAATCCCATTACTGGGTATATACCCAAAGGATTATAAATCATTCTATTATAAAGACACATGCACACGTATGTTTATTGCAGCACTGTTCACAATAGCAAAGACTTGGAACCAACCCAAATGCCCATCAATGATAGACTGGATAAAGAAATTGTGGCACATACACACCATGGAATACTATGCAGCCATAATAAAAGATGAGTTCATGTCCTTTGCAAGGACATGGACAAAGCTGGAAACCATCATTCTCAGCAAACAAGAACAGAAAATCAAACACTGCATGTTCTCAGTCTAAGTGGGAGCTGAACAATGAGAAAACATGGACACAGAGAGGGGAACATCACACACTGGGCCTGTTGGGGGGTAGGGGGCTAGGGGAGGGATAGCATTAGGAGAAATACCTAATGTAAATGACAGGTTAATGGGTGCAGCAAACCACCATGGCATGTGTATACCTATGTAACAAACCTGCATGTTCTGCACATGTATCCCAGAACTTAAAGTATAAATAAATAAATGAATAAATAAATAAATTTTAAAAAGTGCCCTTTATGTGTGTGTGTGTGTATATATACATATATATTACATATATGTTTTAAATATATTTATTTTTTGTAGTTCAGAGGTCTTTTATCTTTCTATACCTATTATGCCATGAATTCATAGGGAATAGGTTCCAGCAGCTCAGGCTCCTCTCCATTGGTTCTCCAAAGTGTGCTCCTCTGGGTGGAGCTGGCTGACACCAAGTACCTTTGTCTTTGGCTTCCTTTTTTTCTGATCATTTTCCTTCACGCGTTTCAGGAAGCTATTTCGGGTCTTAGAGTGCTTAATGTGCTTAATATGCACATTAATTCTCTTGGCAAGAATCCTGCCCTTGTTTGTTTAGAACAATGCCAACAGCATGCTGGGTAACATTGTAGACTCTTCCAGGTTTGCCATGGTAGCACTTGTGGGGCATTCCTTTTTGAACAGTATCCATTCCTTTGATGTCTACAATATCGCCTTTCTTGTGGATTCCCATGTATGTGGCCAAAGGAACAATTCTATGTTTTCTGAAAGGCCAAGAGAACAATTATCAGGTGACTCTCCTGTTTCCCTTTGTGTTCGTCATTTTGGTGAATTACTGGAAGATGGTGGTTCTGGCTGAAAGAGCTATTTTTGTAGCTTTGATTCTGCAGTTATTAATTTTTATATTGTTGATTTGTGCATGTGTAATTATATTCAACCTTCTCTCTCTGAGATCTGATGGTATAAAAGGATGACATTTATGTTGCCAAATATTTTACCTAAGTAAAAAAATAACTGAATATAAAAGATTACATTTATCATAAATTATATACCCTAAACTGCATAATCAGAGTAGCAAAATGCAGACACTTTCATCAATTCAATTTTGATGGTTTAAAAGCATTTTCCCCCACTGGTGTGCTGAAACTGGCCTGCACTGGCTTATAACAGCTGATTGTTAGATTTTTAGGAATCATGTTGGCAGCTTGAAATCAGTCATAGAAGGAGTATTTACACCATGGAAACCAGCAAATGTTACAAACCAGCACTTTTTTTTTCCCTCCAGGGAGAAGCCAGATGTTAAACATTAACCAGTACACTACTACCTATGTACACAAAGTCTCTCTCTTTCTCTCCTCTCTCTCTCTCTTTTTCTCCTCTCTCTCTCTCTTTCTCTCCCTAATAAAGTTTGTATGATTAGGAGGAAGAAATTACATGATTAATATCAAATTGCCTATTACAATTTTTTTGTAAAGTTGTTGTGAATTGAATGTATTATATTCTTGGGAGAATAAAATGAAGTCTGGACCAAAGATGAATGTCTTGTAGAAAATGTATGAATTGGTTTCAGAAGGTACAGTTCTAGATTTTCTCGACAATCAAAAACATGTTCAGTGAAAATGAATACTTTTTTATTTTAATAAATAAGGACTCCATTTACAACTGAGCAACTGTCTTTTTTTTAGGGGAAATTTTGTACAAGATTCCTCCTCTTGCCTCAAAAAATAAGGAGCCCAAACTTAGACTCAAGCTCTGTTTAATGTTAGGCAATGCTTCTTGGCAAAGCAAGAGAACTGTGATGTTCTATCACTATAGAATTAGCCACGAGGCATGCTGCTCAGAATACTGTTACTTACATTGTTACCAGTTACAAGAGCCTCTATTGTACTCAATACACACACACATACACAGGAAAAGTAGAGTCAATATTGGTGGTGGAGCTGTGAGTTGCACAAATATGCTGCCTGAGTAGTTATGTGTCTGAATTAGCTAACATTAGCATCCATTATGCCTAAATAGCTTTCAAAATATAATACTGAAATTTCTCTCTTCTGCCCCAGAGTTTACATGTCAAAAGTTATTGAATTTAGAGATTTCTAAGATTGACATGCAAACCAGTGTAGTCCAATATTCTCTTACAAGGCTACTTATTCAGAAAATTTGTGAGACCTAGGTCATATCTCTTTTCATTCACACAATTTTTCACACAGACAGATTTTAGCAATAATTAGAGTGTTATCATTGTCTTATATAATTTTATTCTTTAATAAAAAATTGCAGTTATGACGGAAAAAACATCTACTTATCATGGTAATGAATTATTCACTCATGATCGAGACAGACACCTATAATTATATGATGATTTGGCTTATCTTCGATAAAGAGTTTTAAATTTTATTTTTTAATGATTTGAAATAAAATTATGTGGTATATAATTATATTTTGTAAGTGTTCCACTTGTATTTGAATAAAATGTATATTTTTAGCCAGGCACAGTGGTTTATGCCTGTAATCTCAGAACTTCGGGAAGCTGAGACGGGAGGATTGCTTGAGGCCAGGAGTTTGACACCAGCCTGGACAGCATGGTAAGACCTCATCTCTACAAAAATAAAAATAAAAAAATTTAGCTGGGCATGGTGGTACATGCCTATAGTTGCAGCTACTCAGGAGGCTTTAAGTGGGAGGATTGCTTGATCCCAGGAGTTTCAGCTGCAGTGAGCTATGACTGTGTCACTGTACTCCACCCTGGGCAACAGCGCAAGACCCTGCCTCTTAACAAAAAAGTATATTTTCTGTTTGAGAGTTCCCATAGGAAGTTTCCTCACATGATTTTGTATTTGTCAATTTCTCTATTTATATATATTGCAGCTATACTTGGCTGTTGTTCTTTCTTGGTGAATTATTCCCTTCATAAATTTGAAATACTCCTTTTTGTCCTTTTCAATATCTTCAAATCTACTTTTTTTTTGCTACTAAAAATGCTAGTACATCAGATTTTTTTAACTAATATTTCCTTGTTGGTTTTTATCACACTTGGAATCTTAAATCTTTTGTGTTACTTTGTTTAAATGAGTCTTTATATCATATGAACAGTACAGTATCTGAGAATTTCTGTCTTTTATGAGGTAAATTTAAAGCATTCACTTTTGGGGGGAATTACTGGTAAGTTTGGACTTATTTTGTCATTTCTTTTTTTTGTGCTCAATTTACCATCCTTTCCATTCCTTGGTGTTTTCTTTTCTACTTCTTACTGGGTTGGCCAATCATTCTATTTTCACCTCTATCCATATGGTAGTTCTACATTTTTTGTAAGTTCTAATTTTCAGGAGTTCCCTTAATATTTGACATTTTTCTTGATTTCAAGGCAAGAAATCATAAACATATAGTTTGATGATTTTTCACACCCAAAACAAAAAACAGAATATTAGTAGCATCCTGGAGGCCCCCTTGGGCCCTCTTCCAGTTCTAACTTCTTTCCCCAAGATAACCATTATCCTGGCTTCTAACATAAGAGATTAGTTTCTCCTCTTCTTGAATTTTATATACATGGAATCATGTGGTATTTATTTTTGTTTGGCTCTTTTTTTCTTGCTGACATTATGTTGGTGAGATTCATCTGTATTGTTACACATAGTTGTAGTTTATTCATTGTCGTTATTATATAATACTTTGTTGTATCACTATGCCATAATTTATTTATGCATTCTACTGTTGATGGGCTTCAGGTAATTTTTAGTTTTTGGCAATTACAAATAATGCAGCCATGAATATTCTAGTACAAGTCTTTTGATGTATATTAGTACTAGTTTATGTTGGGTATATTTCTATAAATAAAATTATTGGGTCATATGGTATGTGTATATCCAATACTGGTAGACACGGTCACTTTCCCAAAGTGATTGTACCAATCTGAACTCTCACCAGCAGTGTATGAGAGTTCTGATTGTTCCACATCTTCTCCAACACTTAGTAACATGTGTTATTTTCTTTTTAGCACTAATATTTTAAATATGAAAACTTTAACTCATGTTGAATCATAATTTTACAAATTACGTTGGGTTAATCTTATCCATTGGGCCCAAGTACAATTTTTTTCTTCTTCTCCTTCCTTCCCATATTAAGATCATCTAGAATTTCAGTTACACATTATTATTATTACTTCTCACAGTTTTTGTAATTCTTTTTTTCCTTAAACTCTAGCTAATCTTTCAGAGTGAGTTTTTGAAAATTACATTTTAGTATCTGAAAATGTCTTTATTTTGCTTTTTCATGATTTGAAATTCTAACAAAAATTATTTCTCTTTTAAACTATTTAAGATACTTCTCCATTATTTTGCATTCATTCTTACCTATGAGAAGTTCTATGTTACTCCAATTATTGCTCCTTAATGGGTCTTTTTTCCTCTTTGGAGGATTTTCAGATTTTTCTGATGTCTCGAAATTTTGCTATAATGGGTCCACAGAAAGGATTTTTTTCATTTTTTCTAATGAGAACTTTAAATATTCTTGCCTCTTTTATGTTCTGAAATGAAAATAAAATTTTAAATATTTTTCCCTTCCATTTTCTTTGGTCCGTTTGAAACTTTTGAAATTTTTGAAACTTTTCAATCTGTCCTCTTGGCATTTTGGGGTTATATTCTAGGTGAAATATTAGCATTCTGTGTGTGTGTGTGTGTGTGTGTGTGTGTCTTTGGATATGTATAAGGAAAACCCATATACACACTATCCAACCTCAAGAACTATCATTATTCACTTTATGTATTTCTATTCATGATTGATCTACTTGTCTATTCCCATAAATGCACTATGCACTATATAAATGTATATATGTGTATATATATATATATTTTTGGTTGGAGTTTTCTTAAAGTAAATTCAGACAAAATCGTTTTATTGGTAATTACTTAAATATTTCCAATAGATAAGGACTGTTCTTTTAAATTTAGCTACAATACAATTATAATCTTAAAATAATTAATGATAATTCCTTTATAGTATTTAACACCTAGTTTATGGACAATTTGAGTATATATATCAGTTGATTTGTTCAAATAAGTCAACACATTGCATTTGGTTGATTTACCTCTTAAATTCCTTTATTCTATTGCAGTCCTCACTTGTTTTTAAAATACTATTTGTTTATTGCAGAAACAATACTTTTGTCCTGTAGACTTTCCCATACTGTAGATTATGTTGATTGCATCTTTCTGGTATAATTTAACATGCTTTTCTGTCACTTGAAATTTCTATAAGTGAACATTTTGATGTAGCTGCTTCATTGGATTCTGATCCAATTTATTTTTGCAAGATTAATACGTAAGTGGAGCTAGGTTTGTAATACAAAGGTAGTTCTTTCTGTCTTCGTGATCTTAGGATCCACTGATGGATTCAGGTATTCTCTGCCTAGCCAGTCATCATAAAGATCCTTATCAGTAATATTAGCAGCCGTTAATGAATACTATAATATTAATTATTAGGGGTACAAAAGTGTTTCTTTTCTAATAGATATTATTTTACAGAGGAGAACCCATCCCTTATCAACTTTCTGATCCCTCTGAATAGTTGTTACAGAAAAGATAAATGCTAATTATTTCACTGATTTCAGTTTTCTGAAAAAAAAAATCGTCCTAACAACCTCTAAAAATTGTTAGGCAAGGATTTTGGAGTTTTATTATGAACTCATGAATTTTTATATACTTGATATGTTTCTATCTATCACAGTCACAATTTTTTTGATGTTCAAATTTATATTCTTTATAGAAATATGTTATATGGAAAATATATCATGTTATATAGAAACTTTAAACATATATTAAAATATTATCAAAAATTTGGTAATCTTGTTTCATCCCTCTTCCAACTGTTTTCATGGATTATTTTATGGCACATTGTATGCAAAGCAGCTCAGTTTTTTGGCTTATGTTTGTCCTATCTATACCATGTAATGGTGTCAGCAGCTATTTAACCCCAAATCTCCTCCTCTTCTCCATAGGACTCAAACAGGAATCCAGAGACTCATTTGCACTGGGAGACAAACTGAAATGACAGTCTCATGCCATCCTCCTTGATAAAGAACACTTTCATTTTATGCCCATGTACAAGTTTCAATTGCTGCATAACAAATTACCACAAATTCAGCAACTTAAAACAATGCTCATTTATTATTTCACAGTTCTATAGATCTAGGCACCCTGGACCGGGTTCTCTGCATAGGTCTCACAAGGCCAAAACAAAGATAAGCCAGGCTGGGCTTATGTATCTGCAAGTTTTGAGGAAGAATCTGCTTCTAAGATCATTCAAATTGTTGGCAGAATTTAGCATCCTTGTGACTGTAGGACTGAGATCCACACTCCCTTGTTGGCTGTCCACCAGGGGTCACTGTCACTCCTCATGGTCTCCCTCCAGTTTTTGACCACAGCCCCTCCATCCTCACAGCCGGCAATGGTGTATAGATTTCTTTTTGTGCTTTGACTCTCTGATTTCTTTTTCTGCCACCAGCCAAACAAAATTTTTTGCCTCTCAAGGGTTTGTGTGATTAGATTAGGCCCACTCGAATAACTTTGCATTTGATAAACTCAAAGTCAACTGATTAGTGACTTTATGTCTACAGAATCCCTTTGCCGAATAAGATAACATAATCCAGACATGTTAGCTCATTGTACTCAGAGGTCCAAGAATCAGGGCAGACAGTCTTCAGGGGCTGCCTTAGAATCATGCCTGCCATGGCCCTGCTTATTTCACTTTTGCCACCTTTAGGATGAGTTAGCTCTTAAACATTTCCGAAAAAGTAGGTTTCTGGTGAAACTTCTTCCCTGCCTTGAAGTTTAGGTCCAGATGTAACAGAATTTTAAATTATGTTGTAGTTGAGACACTTACACACAACCACACACACACACACACACACATACACACACACAGAGTCCATCTTCAAAACAGCTTTTGACTGTTAACATGATTCTTTCAATTTGGAGGGATGCTTAAATGTTCCGCCATAAAAACATTTAGCTCTTTTTGCAATATTTCATTAGAGGAGAAGACTATCTTTAAAAGAAACAAGTTCAAATGATTCCTAAGAGTCTTGAAGTATTTTCAAAACAGTGTTTTCTAAATCTTTTCAAAATGCCAGCAGTTCTTGATAAATGAAAGGTCGTGTTAATTCTTTTGGCATTTAAATCAGCACCTTTAACATGATTAATTGACTTAGCATTTAATACCTGATTGTGCATTCCACTGTTATTATATGGAAATACTGATTTGGATCCAGAAGAATATTAAAACAATTATTAATTTATTCTAATTGTGCTAATCTCTGCATTTAATTATCTCCCATCAATTTAATGAAATGAAATAATTACTTTTATAAAATGTAGCCCATTTTGCATTTTAGCTTATACTTATAAAAATAAAGGTTTAGAAATGTCTTATGATATAGATGATATAATAAAACTATCCACTTCCAGTGTGAAAGCAATATGAACATTCTGTATTCAAAGGAGAAAAGTTTTAAAAACTAGTATTGTACTTCCAAGGAAGAACAATTGCAGAAGCTTCACTGTATCCCTTTCCTCTCTAGAGATGAAGATGACTTATGCTAATTTTGAAATTGAAAATTCTTTTACACATATTACTTCCTGTCCTTTATATCAGGAGGAATAAAGTAGGTGAATCCCTTGAATAGAATGCAAACTCCTGGCCAGGCACAGTGGCTCACGCCTGTAACCCCAGCACTTTGGGAAGCTGAGGCAGGTAGATCATTTGACGTGAGGAGTTCGAGACCAGCTTGGCCAACATGGTGAAACCCCATCTCTACTAAAAATACAAAAATTAACCAGGCGCAGTGGCACATGCCCAGTAATCCCAGCTACTCGGGAGGCTGAGGAAGGAGAATCGCTTGAACCAGGGAGCCATAGGTTTCAGTGAGCCCCCAGATTGCCCACTGCAATCCACCCTGGACAACAGAGCAAGACTCAAACAAAACAAAAAAAAAAGCAAACTCTGTTTTGATCTTAGATCTCTCTGTAACATTCTGTTCTCCTAACTGGTACCTCGGGAAATCTGGGCCTTTGTAATTTTATCATTATCTGGGCCTTTGTAATTTTTTCATTATGGTGACATTCTTGATTTTGCTTAACATTCTTGGGTTGTTATTTTTGAAATAGTCCTTAACTTTCCTTTGGGGAAACTCCCTCAATCCTTTTGCGAGTGGTACCTTAGTCTTCCCCTAGGCGTTGGATGCTGTTTTCCTGAATAACCAGTTGGGACTGATTTATACTTGGTACTTATACTCTCAATAAATAGCATATTAATTACTGTTACTAAGATCCCTGGAGCTTCCTCAGTTCCTGCCCTTCCTGAAGCCTTGTTCTATGTAGCTTTTATTCAATTTTTTGAACTATCCTTATAGACTTTTTTTTTTTTTAGACAGAGTCTCACTCAGTCTGTCTCCCAGGCAGGAGTGCAGTGATGCAATCTCAGCTCACTACAACCTCCACCTCACGGGTTCAAGTGATTTTCCTGCCTCAGCCTCCTGAGTAGCTGGGATTACAGGCATGCACCACTGCACCCATCTAATTCTGTATTTTTAGTAGAGACAAGGTTTCACAACATTGGCCAGGTGGGTTGTGAACTCTTGGCCTCGGCCTCCCAAAGTGCTGGGATTACAGGCCTGAGCCACCATACCCGGCCTATCCTCATAGATTTTTAGTATCTTTCTCCCCGACCAAGTTACCAAGAATTACTTTCTGTTGCCTGCAGCCAAAGAAACCTAATTAATACATCCATTTAACTGTGTAGAAATTCAATTCTATACCCATTAGAGTTATCCTATATTTATCGTGTTATTATCCTCAAAGGCTCCAATGTCCCAAGGCAGCAAGAAGAAATCACATGGACGTTGCTGTTTTTCTTTCCTGCTGTGGCTCAAATGTGAACACACAGAGCATGTTCAATATATTTATCTGTTTGTGTTAATGAAATCCCAAACATTAGGTTTGAATAACAACAACAACAAAAGGATCTGAAAATCACCTCTTTGTCTTATTGTACATTAACCACGTTTGGAGAGAACATTATTAAATCATCTGGCAGGTTGAAGAACTAGTACAGTTTTTGAAAGTCGGAGCTACTTGTCCAGTAGCCTGAGGGCAAGCCAGTTACAGGAAAGTATGTTGGCAAAAGGGACAGGAAAGGCTTTAGATTGTGTCATTTCTCAAATGTTTGCTCACATTTGACTTGTATTTTCACACATTTATACCACATCGGTTTCTTAAAATTGTTTTAAGAAACTCATAACAATTCTTTTGTGCTATAAATCGCAGAAAGATTTTATGTGAAATTTCAGCTGGTTTTAGGAAGAATTTATCTTTTCTTTGGTTACTATAAGTTATTATTCAGTTTTTACAATTTGTCATGAAAACATGCTATGCCATTTCTATGCTACTTTAAAGAATTAAATTCTGTTTGTAAAAGTACATATTTCATTGCACAAAGGGTTGTATTTAATGGATAAAGGGACTGACAGATTAAAAAAAAAGCCATGAAAACAATGCTAATTCAAAGGGATACAGATATCAAAAGAACAAGGGAAAGAAAAAGTATTAGGGAAAAAAAGAGTAATGAAATGTTTTTAAAAGAAGAAATGAAAAAGGTTGAGGCCCCAAATAGCCTAAGGTCCTAAAACATGTGGCCAATTGATCAAATTAAACCTGACAATGTTAATATAATTATTTGTTCGTGTCCCTATTTCTCTAGGATTCTACAGTTGTGCTTCACTCTTCCCTTTCTCTGGGCTCAGTCCCGTCACTACGAACTGGAAATAATGAATTCTAAAACAGTAGGAACTGTGGTCTGGTGTCAGGTCTCCTCTGCTCCTTGTTCTATCCTTTACTATTTGTTTTCACTCACTGGTATATTTCTATTTGTTTCCACCATATGCCCCATCCAGAAATGGAGTCATGCTTTGATTCTTGTGTTAAGGATGTTTTTTGCTATCTATAACAGAAACTTTGAATACAGTAGCTTAACAAATCAGAGTTTTATATTCCATTTCTCATACCTAATCCAGAATTAGATAAACCAGGACTTGTACATTGCATCACAATGCCATCAGAGACCAGAGCTTTTCTGTCTTTTTACCCCGCCATCTTTAGCATCTTTATTTATATACACTTGATCACAAGATGACTTTTGCACCTTCAGATATTAAATCTGATTTAAGGCAGCGAGATGAGGAAAGAGTAAATGCAGTACTCTTGTTTTAGGGAAAAAGGCTTTCTTAATATCTCTCCTTTCTCTGCTATTGGATTTCTATGTGTCTTATTTATCAGCATATTAGTTTTTGATGCATAACAAACAACTACAAAACTTCAATAGCATACAACAATAAACATTTATACATCATGATCTGGGATTCAGCTAATCAGGGCCGGGCTAATAGGAGTGGGTCTGCTGAGTTCTGCTGAGCTCCCTTAAACATTTGCACGTTAGCTGAAACTGTGCTCTAGGCTGGATGAGGCTGGGTTTGGTTGAGGCACCTTTATTCAAGCGTCAGCTCTGCATCGTCATTTTCTTTTCCTCTTCCTGGAACCGGGAGACTATCCCAGCAGAGCAGAGGTGCAAGATTAAGCAAATATATATATGCAAAGCCTCTTGAAACCTCTTGAAAGCCAAGCTTAGAATTGGCAAGGATCATTCTGTTGGCCAAAACAAATTACATGGATGAACTCAGAGTCAGAGTTGGAGAGCACAGCAAATTTCCATGACAAACCACATGGCCACAGGAAGAGTGAAGAATTTGGGCCTTTAATGCAATTTTCCAGGCAGTCAGTGCCACACAACCATGTCTCGCTATAAGAAAGGCTGAAAAATAAAAACATTTACCTGGGACATCACTATTGAAACAACACTTATTTATTTCCTACCTTTCTTCTTTTTTCTTCCTTCTTTCTCCTAATTCTCTTCTTCCTTCCCCTCTTCCTTTTCTTTCTTTCTTTTTTCTTTTTGCAAAGAAAGGGAGTGGAAACAGACATCAGGTAGGCAGTGAACATTGATAATCATTATTTCCTATATAGTACTCTTATATCTTTAGTGTAATTGCTACTGGACCTCTCTAACAGCCTTCCTTTCTTGTCCATTGCTTATTCTATTTCCTGTTTGTGAATACTGAACCTTACCCACTTGCTGGATTTCCCACTTGTTGCCTCTTGCCATGATCCCTTGATGTCATCTCATGCCCTTGCTAGGAGTTTCCCTGATTGCCTGCATTGAATCTAGGAGTCTATACATTTTAGTCATTTCCAGTATCCCCACTTAATTTTTTTTTGGGGGGAGCGGGAATGGAGTCTTGCTTTGTCTCCCAGGCTGGAGTGCAGTGGTATGATCTCTGCTCACTGCAACCTCCCCCTCCCAGGTTCAAGTGATTATCAAGTGATAGCTGGGATTACAGGTGTGTGCTACCACACTCAGCTAATTTTTGTATTTTTAGTAGAGACAGGGTTTCACCGTGTTTGCCAGGCTACTCTTGAACACCTGACCTCAGGTGATCCACCTGCCTTGGCCTCCCAAAGTGCTGGGATTACAGGTGTGAGCCACCGCACCCGGCTCCCACTTAATTTTGACCAACATTAAGTAAAAGAAAAATGGAAAGAAAAATGTAATGACATTTTTGTGAATCTTAAATACAGCCTATCAAATTACAATTTTATCTGACTAAATAATCATCAAGAAATAAGATTAGATAGAAGATAAAAACATAGACAAATTAAGGCTGAGGATTTAAAGCAAAAGCAAAAATGAGAGTGTCAAATCAGTAAGTATTCCTGAAAGCTGAACGTGGGCAGGGCTCCTTGAATGCAATCATTATTGACTGAAATCAGCTGAGGAAATCTAGTGGCGAACACAGTGGGAGAGTGTGAAGGTTGGTGTGGCCCAGGAACAACATGACGGGAAAGAATGATGCAAAGTCCCAGCTGGACAGCAGGACTTGGTAAATTAGACTTGTTTCTGACATTTTAGAGACAATTTTTGAAGAAGCTTGAACAAATTTTCCTTGAGCAAGGCTTTAATGTTCTTGTTTGTGTTCTTGTAAAATGGAAGCTCTCTACCAAATCTTAATATGTTTCTGCAATATTGGCTGCATGCTGTTCCCATTACTTTGCAGTATTTATAGAATTCAGACATAAATGTGATTATTAAAACCAACACAGGTGTTTAGTCTTTAAAATAGAACATTATGAAAATATGCCTTAAAAGCAATTTATAATAGATCAAATAGTTTCCTTCCTTAATTCTCAAAATTTAAGAAAATGTTTCCTGGACTCTGCCCACATCCAGTTGAATATATTTATATTTACGGTATATATCTTGATCAAAATGTGTAAACATAAACAGAACAAACACAAAAACATAAAACAAAACACTAGTTGGAACAAGAAAGCCCAAGTTCTACCATTGGCTGTAGCACTAATTTGACATGTAAATTTATGTCACTTCATGTCTCTAGGCCTCAGTTCACACATCTGAAAATGTGATTGTGTAGCAATCATTTTATTTTAAAGAAACGATGTAATTATAAATTACGCTTAAACTAATATAAGCTCATAGTGATAAAGTGAAGTATTACTGAAGATTGCAAAGGTAAAATATACCTGATTTTTTTCACTAGTGCCTAATTCTTACCTTTAATTCAGCAGTAGCAATCTCTGTTACCAGTATCTTGTAGACTTTCAATAACCTTACCTGCATATAAAAGTATAGTAATTCTTAGGCCCTGGTAAAAGAAAAAAAAAAGTGGGTCCTTGTGTCCAGCACCCAGCACAGAGCCTGGCATACAGTGGCCCTCAGTAAAGGTCTGTTTCACAATTGATACCTGAATGACTTGATCCATGTGCCCCAGGTCCTGCCTTACAAACTGGTTGGTGCTAAATTTATTTTTCTCCTGTGTTCCGGCATTTTTCTTCTCAGTCTACTATATCACTAGGGCTTTAAGCTGTGCCCTTGAACCTCACTCTGTGGCTGGGGTTCTACTTGACTCCTGATACATATTTTTCTGAAGTCAACTACGGCTTCCCATCTGGCGGCAGCCTGGCACTGCTGGGCACACCCAGTTCTTGTCTCAAGCCAAGCCAGTCTCCTCTTGACAATATGGTTGACTCTTCCAAGTGTGGTGACTGTGTCATAAGAAAACACATAACAGAATGGGTATTTTTAAGTTTTGCGGTGTTTTCTCATATGTCTATTGTACAGTTGGACCGTAAATGGGCACCTCGGGCCAGCACCATCATCTGCAGACCATGACATAAGTACAGTGGGGCTGAATTTATTGGCTCTGAGTTTTCCCAGCATGACCTCAAACTATTACTTAGGTTTTTATATAAGCAAATAGACTTTTGGCTGATACAGGTTCTAGCACAGATGCCTGAAGGAGTGACATAGAATATGTTGCCGATTAACTGTCTAGAGGGACTACTGTGGAATTTGAAACCGTCGGAATATCCATGGGCTTTCCCAAAATCACTTTTCTGGAAGTGGTGTTTTTGTGTCAGCTAATCTGCTTGTCTGACAGGCTATTATAATAAACACACAGGGCCATGAAAATGCTCTTGCCATATTTGGTTCAAATTTAACATTTTATTTAATATTCCATGGACAAAAGACTGCATCTGTAGATTACAGGCTAAAGAGTGTGTATGGATAGTCCAATCAAAAAGGATATAATATATTATAGATGTTTTTAAAAAAGATTGTCTTCTACTTAGACTAATCTATGTTGGTTACTTAAATTAATTGATCAGATAAAGTATTATCTAAAATTGAGCTAAATCTACTACAATGTATTATATTTTGATTAAATATTTTTAGGGGAGGATAAAAACCAAAACAACCGTGAACCCCAATGATCTTTTAACTTTTTTCAGTTTACCCATCTAAGTTCTGTAGATCTTTTATATAACTTCTTATTGTAAAAATGTATTATAACACCACCAATGAAAATTAAAATGGCAAAATATTCCCTCAATAGCTCTGCTTACATTTTCTCATATTCTTGTAAAGTTCTTGTTACCTGAGTATGTATAAGTTTTTAGCATTTTAGTTGTAGGCTATAATTATATATCTTAGTTCTTTTTTAAAATTAAGAAATATTTCAAATTTACAAAATAATATTATGAGCTGACGTACATATAGAACTAAGCTTTAACAAATCTTAAGATATTGGCATGTTTTCTTCAGCTATCTTTTTTTCAAAAACATCATAAAGAAATAAATTAAACATTGTAGAGTTAAGATCCCCTATACCCTGTATGCCCTTCTTTAGTTTTATTTTTCTTGTTTCTTCTTCAAAGGTAACCATTATCCTGAATTTAGTGTTTATTTCTCTTGTGCATGACTTTTTACCATGCAAGTATTTAATCTTAAGCACCCTGGAACATTGTTTTTCACGGTTCTATAATTTATATAAATGGTATTATATTAAATATCGTTCTTTTGCAACTTATTTCCCTCCAAATATATGTTAGAGATTTATTTATGTTGATACATATAGCTTTAGCTCATTCATTTAAAGTATCACATAGTAGGCCTTTATATGAATATACAGTAACATTCATCCATTTTCTAACTGAGCTGTGAGCATAATTACTGCTTTACATCACTGGCTATTGGAGTAGTTTGTTATGCAGGGTATGTAAACCAACTTTATTAGATATTGACAAGTTGCTTCTCAAGGTATTTGCACCAATTTTATAATTCTGTGATTGCTTCTCAACATACTTGCCAAACCTCGGTATTGGCAGGTCGCCACGTTTTCATTAATTTTATGGGTGGGAAATGGTAAATGTTACTCTTTTATTTTGTGTTTTTCTGGTTGTTGGTCAGTTTGATTATCTTCTCATATGTTTGTTAGCCATCTAGATTTCCTATTCTGTGACTTGAATATGTTCCAATTCCATACCTATTTTAAAATTTGGTTGTGAACATTGTTCTTATTAATTTTCAGGAATTTTTGCATTTATTCTAGGTACTAGTTCTTTTTCAGTGACGTGTTGCAAATACCTTCTTTCAGACTTTACCCTTTGCTGTATTAAAGTCCACTTTATTAATATCTTCCTTTGTGGTTTATGTAATTTGTATTGTTTAAGAATTCTTTTTTATAACAAGGTTATAAACATATTCTATATTCTCTTTTAAACATTAAAAATTTTTGTTTTTAACATTTTGGCTTTAATTCCTTGGGATTTATTTTGGAGTATGGCATAGGATAGGCATATTATTTAATGTTTTACCTTTGGATAACCAATTGTCATAGCCCCATTTACTGAATTATTGGCAATGCCACTTCTGTCATATATCTAGTTTACATATTCTTGTGTCTATTTGCTGGATTCTATTCTGCTCCTGGTCTGCTAGTTTATCTCTGCCAGTGCTCTCCTAGCTTGAATGACAAAACCTTACAATAAATGTCTTCATATCTGGTCTTTAGTTCTTATTCATTAATTTTTTCTTCATTATTTTTGCCCATTTGATCTTTCATATTTTCTTAGGATAAACTTATCAAATTGCATGGAAGACCTTGTTAGGATTTTGATTGGAATTACATTAAACTTTTATGTTAACTTGGGGACATTTGACATTTTTAAGGTGTTGATCCCTGAGATTCATAAATATAGTATCACTGTTCTTTTAATCAGATCTTCAATAATGTCTTCTAAAGTTCTCTATAAAAGTCTTGCATAGTTTGTGTTAATTTTAAGTACCCTTTGATGTATTGCTGTAGAGAATGGTATCTTTTTCTTTTACATTTTGTAATTGCTTATTAATGGTAATAGAAGGACTGTTTTTTAAAAATTTTATCTTTTGTGGGTACATAGTAGGTATATATATTTATGGGTTACATGAGATATTTTGATGCAGGCATGCAATGTGTAATAATCACATCAGGGTAAATGGGTATACATCACCTCAAGCATTTATATTAATATCCTTTTAGTTATTTTAAGAAGAACAATTCAATTATTTTTAGTATAGTCATCCTGTTGTGCTAGCAAATTCTAGGTCTTA